>NC_000002.12:16146119-16297634 GCF_000001405.40 Homo sapiens
TATTGTATATATTATATATTATATATACCATATTGTATATATTATATATATTATATTTTATATATTATATAAATTATATATTATATGATATATAATATTATATAAATTATATGTTATATAATATATAATATTATATATTGTACAATATATAATATATATAATATACAATATGTATTATTTATTATACGATATATAATATATATAATATACAATATCATATAAGATATGTAATATTTAATATATAATATTATATATTCTATATTATATAATATATATATTCTAAAATATATGTAGTATATATTCTATAACATATATATTATACATATACATTATATATGTATATATTATATACATATATATTATACATTATATATATTATACAATATATATTATATATTATACAATATATAATATCATATGTTATATATTATACTATATAATATATAATATAAGATTATATTATCTATAATATATAATATATAACATATTATATTATATAATATATAATATATAACATAATATTATATTACATGTAATATATAATATATAATATTATGATATAATATATAATACATAATATATAATATACGAAATAATACATAATATATAATATATAATATAATATGATATTTTATATAATATATAATATATAATATAGTATGATATTACATATAATATATAATATATAATTTAATATTATATTATATATAATATTATATAATTTATAATATAGACTATAGTATAATATAATATATATTATAATATAATATATAAAATAATATAATATATAATATTGTATAATATGTAATATATAATATTACATATTGTATGATATATAATGTTATATAATATATAATATTATATATTATATAATATATAGTAATATATAATATATAATGTAATATAATATATAATATATAATATAAGATATAATATTATATGCTATATGATATATAAGATATGATATCATATAATATATAATATGTAAGATATAATATTATATAATATATAATATGTAAGACATAATATTATATAATATATAATATGTAAGACATAATATTATATAATATATAATATGTAAGATATAATATTATATAATATATAATATGTAAGATATAATATTATAATATATATTATATATAATATATAATATAATATCTATATATAATATAATATTGTGTTATATATTATATATAATATATAATATAATATTAATATATAATATAATATTATATATAATATATAATATAATTTAATATATAATATTATGTTATATCATATTTTTATTATATAATATTATATTATTATATTACATATATAATATATTATATTATATTTATATAATATATACTTTATATTATATACATAATATATATAATATATAATATATTATATTTTATATATATTATATATTATATATATTATAAATATAATATATCATATATGATATATTATATCTTATATATATAATATTTAATATATGATATATGATATATTATATATTATAATATATAATGTATAATATATGATATATGATATATTATATATTATAATATATAATGTATAATATATAATTATATGATATATTATATAATGTATAATATATAATTATATGATATATTATATATTGTATAATATATAATATTATATAATTATATACTATATAATAATATAATATATAATATATAATATATAATATATGTTATATACAATATTTTATTATATTATATAACATAATATATAATATAATTTTATATTATACATTATTTATTATAATATATAATATAATATATAATATAATTATATAGTTTACATTATATATTATATATAATATAATATAATATAAAATATTATATATTATATTATATATAATATAATATAATATAAAATATTATATATTATATTATATATAATATAATATAATATATAATATTATATATTATATGTAATATAATATAATATAATATAAAATATTATATATTATATGTAATATAATATAATATAAAATATTATATATTATATGTAATATAATATAATATATATAATATATTATCTAAATTATATATTATATAATATATATCATATATTATATATAATATTATATACAATATATATTATATATAATATATAATATATATCATATATTATCTATATTATGTTATATATAATATATAATATTGTATTATAGATTATATTATATATAATAAATATATATAATATAATATTATATATTATATTATATCTAATAAATATATATAATATAATATTATATATTATATAATATTATATGTAGTATAGTATATATAATATATTATTTATGGTATGATATATAATATATTATATTGTATATAATATGATATATAATATATTATATTGTATATAGTATGATATATAATATGTATAATATAAGATAGTATAATATGGAATATATTATATATAATATATACTATAATAATATATAATTTATAATATTTATTTATATTTTTATATAATATATAAAACATATATTTTATATAATATATATAAAACATATATAAAATATATTATATTATATAATATATATAAAACATATTTTATATAATATATAACATATATAAAACTTGTATTATATATATAATGTATGTATAAAACATATTATATATATATAATATATATATATAATTTTTTGGGGGGGTGGAGTCTCACTCTGTCACGCAGGCTGAAGTGCTGTGGCACCATCTTGGCTCACTGCAACCTCTGCCTCCCAGGTTCAAGGGATTCTCCAGCCTCAGTCTCCTGAGTAGCTGGGATTACAGGTGCCCACCACTGTACCTGGTTAATTTTTTGTATTTTTAGTAGAGACGGGTTTTGCCATGTTGTCCAGGCTGGTCTTGAACTCTTGACCTCATGTGATCCACCCACCTCGGCCTCCCAAATTGTTGGGATTACAGGCATGAGCCACCGCACCTGGCCATCTATATTTTTGAGCATATCTGAAATAGTTCTTTAAAAATCCCCGGAGACTGGGATTACTGGTTAGAGTCAGTGGAGTGCAATTCAACAGAGATAAACATACAGTCCTGGGCAGTAATGTGGCGAGTTCTGTTTACAAGTGTGGAATGAGAAGTTTCTCTGTGCTGCATAGGGACATCCCACAGCAGCAGTCAATGAGGTGTATCTGTGGAGAATGTCACACAGAAAGTGAAATAAAATCCAAGAATCCAATCAGATGCAGAAAATGAGGATACAAAATAGTGTAGAAGGAAAGGACTAAAAGATTGGCTAGTTTGGATGCTTAATGAAACATGAGAATATCTTTTTGTTTGTATGTTTGTTTGTTTTGAGAGGGAGTTTCACTCTGTCGCCCAGGCTGGAGTGCAGTGGCGCAGTTTTGGCTCACTGCAACTTTGCCTCCTAGGTTCAAGTGATTCTCCTGCCTCAGCCTCCCGAGTAGCTGGGACCACAGGAGTGCACCACCATGCCTAGCTAAATTTTTGTTTTTTAGTAGAGATGCGGTTTCTCCATGTTCGTCAGGCTGATCTTAAACTCCTGACCTCAGGTGATCTGCCCACCTCTGCCTGCCAAAGTGCTGGGATTACAGGCGTGAACCACTGTGTCTGGCTGTTTGTTGTTTTTTGAGACAGGGTCTCACTCTGTTGCCCAGGCTGGAATGCAGTGGTGCGATCACAGCTCACTGCAGCCTTGACTTCCCGGGCATACGCCATCCGCCCACCTCAGCCTCCCAAGTAGCTGGGACTACAGGTGCAGGCTACCATGCCAAGCTAATTTTTGTATTTTTAATAGACACGGGGTTTCACAACGTTACTCATAGCTGGTCTTGAAATTGGGGGCTCAGGTGATTCACCTCCCTAGGCCTCCCAGAGTGCTGGGATTACAGCCACGAGCCACCGTGTCCAGCCTGTTTGTTTGTTTTTGAGATAGGGTCTCGCTGTGTCAAGCAGGCTGGAGCACAGCAGCACAATCACAGCTCACTGTAGCTTTGACCTCCTGGGCTCAAAGGATCCTTCCACCTCAGCGTCCTGAGTAGCTCAGAGTACAGACATATACCATCCCACTTGACTAATTTTAAAATTGTTCGTAGAGACAGGGGTTGTCTCTATGTTGTCCAGGGTGGTCTCCAACTCCTGAGCTCAAGCGATCCTCCCAGCTCAGCCTCCCAAAGTGCTGGGATTACAGGCATGAGCCTCTGCGCCCAACCTCAGAAAATAGCTTTATTTTTATTTGCATTTGCTGTTAATGTTTTTCATTGCTGTGTAGCTTTCAGTTTAGCATACTTACCTTTATGAATACAACTTTATACATATGATTTTATTTTATTTGTATAAGAGTATTGTAGGTTGGTATCTATTAATACTTTGTATAAAGAATTTTTGGGCCATATGCAGTGGCTCACGCCTGTAATCCTAGCACTTTGGGAGGCTAAGGTAGGTGGATTGCTTGAGCCCAGGAGTTCAAGATCAGCCTAGGCAACATGGTGAAACCCTGCCTCTACAAAAAATACAAAAATTAGCTGGGCGTGGTGGTGTGTACCTGTGGTTGGTCCCAGTTATTCGGGAGGCTGATGTGGGAGGATTGCTTGAGCCCGGGAGGCAGAGGTTGCAGTGAACTGAGATTGTGCTACTGAACTCCAGCACTCCAGCCTGGGTGAAAGAGCAAGACCCTGTCTCAAAAAAAAAAAAAAAAAGAAAAAGAAAAAAAAATTTGTTCAATTAAAAGAAATATGTGGTCTTGAATTAGGTCCTCAAAGTGAGTTTTCAAAGATTGGGTGGTTGTACCTGGCTTAACAGCAGTTTATACAAAAAGAAGCTTTTTTTTTTTTTTTTTTTACCACAAGATTACTGTGAACCAATAGGGTAATATAGTTTCTAAATAAGTTCGTGTAAAACTTGCATTATTATAATAGAATTATGGTAATGACACCAGAGGAAGTAAAAATCCAGCTTTATTTTGCATTGGCTGGACCTTGTCTGGAGGATGGTACTCTGTTTTGATTATTCATATCCCCAAGGATAGAAGAGGAGAAGAGTGAATGATTGGATGAAAGCCCTTCCAACAATGTCTTCTGAAGATGGATGGTAAAGACATAATGTTGGGGTAGCCCAGGCACTGTCACTACTTCTTTGATGGGCTGCCATGGAGCAGAGGGACAAGGTAGGGCCAGACGGTAGAGCTGCACCCAATATTGGAAGGCATTGGGTGCATGTATTAGGTGGGGGGATAATTTCAGCTCATTAGGCGCCAAAGCTCTCTAATATTAGAGGCATCCTAGAATGGGATCAGTGATCTCTGGAGGTAGTAGGCATCCTGTCACTTGGAATGTCCAGGAAGGTTCTGCAGTGGGAGTTTCAGCACCGAGTAGGTGGCTGAGCTAGACAACTTCTGAGATCCCAGTTTTGAGGTTGTACAGTCATGGGATAGAATGTACAATTCACCTATTACTGGGAGATGCCAGCAGGTCGTGTGACTAGAAATGAGTTTCAGGTCTGCCAAGGAGAAGAATTCTAGACCTGGCTTGTCCATCAGCTCTGTGATTAGAACCATCAGTTAATCTTTGGCCTTTCTTTTTGCTGAAAGGTGGAAGAGAACGTCTTGGACGTAGATGAAGTGTTGTTTCTCCCAGATGAAGCTAGCTGATGTAGAGGTTGTGAGGGAAATGGCCCCATCCTCTGTTAGCATTGGGATCTCATCCCATTGGGATGAGAATGTTTATGTGATATCCTGGTGTTTGAGGATGGTTGATTGTAAGCTACAGCTGATGAGATGAAGTCTTGCCTTATGGCTGACTTCTCAGTGTTGAGTGAGGGAAGTCCTGGGGCCTTAGACGGCAATAGGCACCTGCCTACGTAGGCAGATAGGACTCAAATAGCCTTTTTAGCTATTGTAATTGTTGGAAATTGAGATTTCTACACAGCTACTCTAAGATTCTGGGCTCTGGGAGGTACAAGGAGCCAGTGTAAAGATAAATATGTCATTTTTGGAAACAAAATTTTGTCAGTGGGTAGTGTTCTATATTTCTTTGTAATCTTCCCAAAATCCTTAGTAAAGTGTTGTTTCTCTGTTGTATTCAGGTCTCAGCTGTGTTTGGTAGAGTGTTAAAAGCAGAGTGCCAAATGCCAAAAAGCATTAGGAAATCAGTGAAAGATCCCCACCACCCGCCAATGGGATGTGAAATCTCTGCGCTAGAGGGAAGAGCCAGGGTCTAGCAGTGTCTCCTTCCCATGGCAAATGTAGAGGCGATGGATGCTATTTTTGCTAAGGACAGAGACATGTTTGTATATCCTCAGCATCTTGGCCTGCTTCTTCATCTGCTTCTGTTGTGGTTGGGTGGAGGGGTGGGTCATCCCTTTTTTCCAGCCAGGGATCAGAGATCACGGCTGGGGGTTGGTGGCCATTAAGTAGCAGTGTATTAGTTATTTATTGCTGTATAACAAATTGCCCCAAAACTTAGCAGTTTAAAACACCCACAATTTATTTTTTCCCATAGTTTCTGAGTGTCAGGAACTGGTTGTGGCTCAGGTACATGCCTCTGGCTCAGGATCTCACATGGGATTGCAGTCAAGCTGGGGCTGCAGTCTCTGCAGGCTTGAGTGAGTGTGAGGATCCACTCAATTTCAATCTCACCCATGTGGTGGTAGGCAGGATACCCAGGAGACTCCATCTCCTCACTAGGTGGCTCCCTCCTTAGGGTTGCTCATGAAATGATTTCCCTCAAGAGCAAGTATCCCAAGGGCAAGGGAGTGACAGAGTAACAAAAATGGAAATTGCAGGCGTTTATAACCTAGTCTCAAAAGTGACATACCATCACTTCTGCCATATTCTGTTGGTCACACAGACTCACCTTGATTCAAAGCATAAGGTGTAAATACCAGGAGGTAAGGATAACTGGGGATTTTAACTCTAATTGCAAACATAAAAGTTTAAATTAGCTCCAGAAAGATCCATATCTGGGCAGAAGGGATTGATTCATTTGGCAGACTCATTAAGCACTTCCTTTGTGCCAGTCACTGTTCTAGGTGCTGAAAATACCATGACGAACAAGACTTTCAAAGTCCCTGCTTTTGAGGATTTTACATTTTAATGATAGAGACAGAAAATGAACAAATACAAAAAATAAGCGTTTTAGATGCTATAAAGAAAATAAAAGATAAGCTAGTGAAGGGGAGCATACATCTATATGGCTTGCTTACTTGTAACTTGGTCTTCCTTCACAGGACCTCATGGGATGGTGGTATCAGTCCTTTGCCCCCTTCCAGGCCTACCTGGGCCACTTCTGTGTGGCTCAATCTATAAGAAGATTGAGGCTACCCTGGAATTGGGTAGGGAGTTTATTTATTTTTACTATTTTATTTTATTTATTTTTAGACATAGGATCTTGCTCTGTCATTCAGGCTGGGGTGCAGTGGTTGTGATCAAAGCTCACTGCAGCCTCTAACTCTTGGGTTCAAGCAATTCTCCCTTCTCAGCCTCCCAAGTAGCTAAGACTATAGGCACATGCCACTATGCCGGGCTACTTTTTTTATTTTTTGTAGAGATGGGGGGTCTCACTATGTTGTCAGGCTGGTCTCAAACTCCTAGCCTTAAGCAATCTTCCCACCTTGGCCTCCCAAAGTGCAGAGGTTACAGGCATAAGCCACTGTGCCTGGCTGGGTGGACACTTGAGAACATCTGTTGATGCCCTACTGTAGAACAAATTTTATTAGATTGTAGGCTTCCTGAGGGCAGGCTCTCTGCTTTCTTAGTCTGTGCATCCCCTAGACACCCAGATATTGTCAGATGGCCTGGCTCCCAGTCCTGTGCACTTTTTAGGTTCTGTTCTGCCCATGCCCATCATTATCCTGGAGCTTGCTCCCATGCAGGAGGTCATTCTCTGGAAGCTTTTCTGGTGTTTCCACCAGACATGACTACCAGAGTTAATGTGGGGAGCTGTGGTCACATCCGAAAGCCTCATTTTCAACAAGAGTACTTTGAAAGAGAAAAGTCTTGGCCACTTGTCAGCAAAAATGGGTATTCAGACCTAAAGTATTTTCACATTTGTTATCTCACTGCCTCTCAAAACAGACTTGTGAATTAGGCAGACTATAGTTTATCAGTCAGTTTTACAGATGAAGACACCAAGATTCAGAGAGATATAAGTATTTTTGTGTTATATCATCATTATGATGGGAGGAGCTGGAGAATTTGACCACATGACAGAGGTATCCCATTTTCTCTCTGTAACTATCCTACGTTATGTTCTGCACAATAAAATCCATGTGGTCTAGTCAAGAAGAGCGCTTCTCAGCTTCGATGTACTGACTCATTCCCCAGGGACCTCAATTGCAAATTCTAATTCCGTAAGATGGTGCCTGAGATTCTGCATTTCTCACAAACTTCCAGGTGATGCCCATGCTCTGCTCCATGGGCCACATTGTCAATAACAAGGGCCACCCTCTGTCCCCATTTCCATACATCAGAAACCAAGCCATCCATTAAAATACGGGGCAAAGATCCCTGTGCCCTTGAAACCCATCTAATGTCTGCAGTCAGAAGTACCATGTTCTCCCTGCACACCCAAGCCAAGGACTGGCTCCCCTCGGAGGGCACTGGTCACATACTGCTTGCATGAAGTGACCTTTGATCATGGCTCACACTGAATTGGACTCAGAGTGCCTCTGAATTTATGTCTTTTAAAAATATCATTGACTGTTTGTACCATGTAGGCGGTATCAGTAACGAGATGGAGGGCATTGGGTTGCCCAGCTGAGCAATTCTCTATTTCTTTTCTACTGGGACATTTCACTAACTAATATAATCTTCCAGTGATATTGACAAGGCTATGCTTTCAGGCTGTTGGGACATTCTAAGTTTAAACTGAGAAGACAGCTGACAAATAGACTCTGGGCTTTAAGCCTTTGTATAGTCTTTATAACTGGCAAATTTTGAGTCCATTGCAGCTGACCTTTACTTAGGGAAAAGTCTCTTCTCATAACATGGAAGACCTAGACATATGTTGAGGATCTTCTTGGTACCAGGCTCTGATTAGCAGCAGACACAAGATTCTTGTGGGCAGGAACCAGCTGATACTTATATCTAAATCCCCATTATCTAGAACATGTAGATGTACTCAATAAATTCTCAAATACCCACTGTGCTGGGCCACATACATATGTTATTACTTTAAAAAAAATCCAGGAAAGCATTATAACATATCCTCTGTGAATTTCTGTCTATTGAGTCTCTGTTTTGAAAGTTTAGGATTAGACAGTTTCTAGGTAAGGAAGTTGGTGATTCCTTTTTACTGGACAGATGGGCACACAGACGCTCTGGGAGTTGATTAACCCCACCTTGACATTTTTGCAGTCCTGGCTTTGTCTTACAGTGGGTCTTGGAACATGTCCAATATATACTTAGACATACTTCTCTGGGAGAAAAGCTTTTACACTTCAGAAACACATACACACACGCGCGCACACACACACACACTCTCTCTCTCTCTCTTAATTTGAGGTTGAATTTTTCTGCCCTGATTAGCTGTGTCTTTGAGCTTCAAGAGCTAGTTTTACTGTGGTTATTAACGAGGCCAATCTCTGATAGCTGGCCTTTTTCAAAAGCATTCCAGCCTGCTAAACAGTGGCCTTTCATGATTTACAAGTTTGGAATCTTTGAGAATTTTCAACAATTAAGGTACTAACTTTTCACACTCCTCTGGTCCCCAAACTTCTTAATCGCAAAACCTTGAAAACGTGCCATGGCAAGGGGAGTTTGGTGCCCCTGCAGGTTGCCTCCTGGACTCGGGAGGGTCCAGCAAGCTTGCTCAGTCCAGCAGGCATCATTTCCCGAGAGGATGTTGGCAGGAAGTCACTGGTGCTGCTCTTGAGCATGAAGCCTGTGCTAACTACGTGTGAAGTTACAGTCCAGAGCAGGCACTGTCAGATAGTAACTCCAAAGGCTCAGGAGGAAACACTTGCTTTAGCTTAGCATGTCACTGTTTTCGAAGTGCTTGCAAACTTGCCAGCTCACTTGATCTTTACAACAAAGCTGTGTGGTGCACAGACAAAAATGCTATGATCACTGAATGGGCGAAGTGAGGATCAGAGAGGTAGAACAACTTGCCTAAGGACACACAGTCAGTGGCAAAGCTGGGACTTACGGACTTTCTGGTTTCTTGTCCGAAGCTCATTCCAACAAGTGCGTCAACTCCTTTGGTTTAAGAATGTGCTTCTTTGGTGAAAGAATTAAAGATGTTGGCTTAAGACTTCTCTACCATGATCAGTGAACTGCATTCTGGTTTCACAAGACATTTATTGATCCTTTGGACATCCTATGTTCCTATTTGATCTAATAATGAATCCGGATGCACAATACCAGTAGAAAGTTAAAAGATCAAGTCTGAAAATGTTTAAAAGCATCTTTTCTTAATCATTTATTTCATTAGTTATTTCTAGTGATTAGTGAAAAAGTAGTAAAATATACAACCTTCATTACAGCTATTTCTGTCAACAACGGAAAACAGGCACAAATGAAATTTTGACACGTAATGTCTAGAATAAATAAGCATAATATGCAGTTTAATTACTTACATAAAAGCTACATGATAATGTGTGTCACAAGTTAATTCTGAATGTGATTCACTCTACCATTTCTTTTTTTATTCCTCCTGCCAAACAATGAAAATGTTTGTTAAAGGATATTTGAAACCTTTCCCAAAGACTAGGTAAACAAGCAGAAAAAAATACAAAAAAAAGAGTAAAATGGCAAGTAAATAATTTGACTTTAAGGCTAATAGTTTTGCATTTTAATTGCTTTTTTAGCTTTTTTCCTCTAAAAAATAATATATTTGTATAATACTTTAACGTTTAGGAAATACTTTTGCATGTATTTATCTTGTTTCATCCTTAAAATACACCTGTGAAGTAAACAGGGTGAATACATTTTTCACAAATATTATTATTATTATTTTTCCAGATGGAGTCTTGCTCTCCTGCCGGGGTTGGAGTGCAGTGGTGCAATCTCAGCTCACTGCAACCTCTGCCTCCCGAGCTCAAGCAATTCTCTTGCTTTAGCCTCCTGAGTAACTGGGATTACAGGCACACGCCACCATGCTTGGCTAATTTTTGTATTTTTAGTAGAGATGGGGGGTTTCACCATGTTGGCCAGGCTGGTCTCGAACTCCTGACCTCAAGTAATCCACCTGCCTCAGCCTCCAAAAGTGTTGGGATTACAGGCGTGAGCCACAGTGCCTAGCCTATTTTTTTTATAGGGGAAGAATCAGAGGCAGGGTGAGGCTTGGCAAGTTCCAAACAGTGTCTTCTAATTTATAGTTCCATATTCATTTTACAGTTTTCCCCACTTTACCCATCATTGTAAATGGAGAGGGGTGTATATGTTTGTATTGTTGTGTACAGCTGAGTGTGTTTTATAAGGTACTTCGTGCATAATCAAGGTTCAAAAATAGTATATTAAGACTTTTAAAAAATCCTTATATTATTACTTACATATTAAATTACATTTTCCAGTGTTTATAAGTCCTTTAATCTCTTTGGAATAGCTTGTAGATGCTACTAACAGTTTTTTAAAAATTAGGCATATAAATATAACACATCTAAGCAAAATTCCTAACTCAATTGTCTTGTTTCTGAAACTTCTAATAAAGCACTGTTTTTTCACAGAGAAAACCTATTGTTAGTATTAAAAATGAATAAATAAGTGGCATTACGTGTTATGGCATCATGTTGTGAAAATGTAGAGAATAAAAAGAAGTGAGTATTATCTAAAAATGTAGATAATAAAAAGAAGTGAGTATGTATCAACAGTAGGACTCAAAGGCTACGTAATGAATGTATGATTCGGTATATTTGATCAAGGGAGAAACTATCCAGAATTCCATTGCTGTGTGGATTTTTATTGATTTGAAGTAAGACATGTGAAGACTTGTATTCTGCGAAGTGTACATTTTAGCTGTTTTCTTACTATGATCATAGTTATTGGTACCTACCAAGTTCTTGCTACACTTGGATAAGTCTCATTCCCTAACTAAAGTGTGTTGCTCCTGGAAGTGCAGAAGATAATGTCCCCAGCACTCTAACTTGAATTTTTAACTTCTCCTCAAATCTATCTTTCAAAAGATCTTCATATCTACCCACTTCTCACCACGTCCATTTGGTCTGAATCTCCACTGTCTCTTGACCAAGTGCTACAGTCTGAATATTTATGTCCCCCCAAAATTCAGATGTTGAAATTCTAGCCCCCAAAGTGATGGAATGAGAAGGTGGGGTCTTTGGGGAGGTGAGTAAGTCATGAGAGTGAAGTCCTTATAAATGGGATTAGTGCCCTTACAAAGGAGGCCTCTTACACCATGTGAGGACAAGGCAGGAAGGCAGCCTCTGTGAGCCAGGAAATAGTCCATTACCACACACTGAATCCACCAATGCCTTGATCTTGGAATTCCCAGACTTTGTAACTGTGAGAAGTAAATTCCTGTTGTTCATAAGCCACCCAGTCTATGGCATTTTGTTATAGCTGCCTGAATGGACTAAGATGCCAGGAAATGGAGCAGCCTCCTATAGAGCCCACCTGCTTTCCCTGTTGCTCCGGACAACCCACTCTCCACACAGTAGTCAGAGTGATCTTTGACATCACATCCTTGCTTGAAACCTGACAGAGGTTTCCCATCCCCTTTAGAAGAAAACACAACTCTGACTGTGGCTGACAGAGCTCCACGGTGGTGGAGCCTCTGCCCACCTTACCACCCTCACATCCCACCTCTTGACTCCGGACTCACTGCACTCTGGCTGCTGGCTGGCTTGCTGCTCCTGGGCACACCGTCTCATCCTGCCCAGCACCTGCATTGGCCTTATATGACCTATCCGTAGATCTCTGTAAGGCTGGGTCCTCCTGATCCTTCAGATCTATGCAGCCTTCTCAGAGTGGCCACACTATCAGAGGCATCCCCTTGTCTCTTCTTGTCCCAGGCACTCTTGTCAGATTAACCTGTCCTTTCCTGCCATCCAGCACAGATCTCCTCTTGAAGAATATCTTCTGCCTGGTGCGGTGGCTCATGCCTATAATCCCAGCACTTTGGGAGGCCAAAGCGGGTGGATCTCCTGAGGTCAGGAGTTCGAGACCAGCCTGATCAAAATGGTGAAACCCTGTCTCTACTAAAAATACAAAAATTAGCCAGTCGTGGTTGCAGGCACCTGTAGTCTCAGCTACTTGGGAGGCTGAGACAGGAAAATTGCGTAAACCCAGGAGGCAGGGGTTGCAGTGAGCCGAGATCATGCCACTGCTCTCCAGCCTGGGTGACTGAGTGAGACTCCATCTCAAAAAGAAAAAAAAAAAAAAAAAAGAAAGAAAAATCCTTTTTTTTTTTTTTTTTGAGACGGAGTCTTGCTCTGTCGCCCAGGCTGGAGTGCAGTGGCGGGATCTCGGCTCACTGCAAGCTCCGCCTCCCGGGTCCACGCCATTCTCCTGCCTCAGCCTCCCAAGTAGCTGGGACTACAGGCGCCCGCCACTATGCCCGGCTAATTTTTTGTATTTTTAGTAGAGACGGGGTTTCACCGTTTTAGCCGGGATGGTCTCGATCTCCTGACCTCGTGATCCGCCCGCCTTGGCCTCCCAAAGTGCTGGGATTACAGGCGTGAGCCACCGCGCCCGGCCAGAAAAATACCTTTTCATTGTCTGTTTTGCTCCCACAAGAATGTAAGCTCTGAAAAAGCAAGAATATTTTATTCACTTTGCTGTCACCATTACTTAAAACAGAGTCTAGTGTGAGGTGTTCAGTAAATATTTGTGACTCAATGAAACATGGGCAAATGTAGGAGTGAAGACAAGGCATATTTGTGGAGCATCTACTATATTGAGGCCTCTCTGATCTTCCTTAACTGTAATCCTCCAACAGTGCTAGGTAGTGTCAGCTCACTGGGCACAGTGGAGTAAACTGAGTCTCAGAGAAGCTTACTAATGTGTATAAGGATTTGCAATTCTTAACAAACCCATGGATGGCACATTGACTGGAGTGTCATTCCAGGGCTGGGCTCTTCCACTGCACTGTGCAGCAAATGGCAGCCGGGCAGCAGGTGCCTTTCTTTCCTAGCACATGGATCAGTTAGTACTCATTACTGGAGGAATATGTGTATAGATAAAATGTAACTGTGGTATCTGTGAGAGGACCACCAAAAGCTCATAATACAAACTAACCATAAGGACAAAAACTTTTCAAAAGTGACAAGGCAGCCACTCTCCTGGCTGGCTCAGTTGGTGTATGCCACTCACTCTTAGTAATTTTGGGGGTTAGAATAATACTCAGAATTGTAATCCCAGCTATTTGGGAGGCCAAGGTGGGAGGATTGCTTGAGCCAAGGAGTTCGAGGCTGCAGTGAACTATGATCATGCTACTGCACTCCGGCCTGGGTAACAGAATGAGACTCTGTCTCTAAAAAACTCAACCAACCAACCAACCAACAAAACTTGTAATTGTGGATTAGGATGAAGAAGAGCAAATCCTCTTTCTACCATCACAGCTTTTCTAATACTACCTGCTCAGCAAACATTCGGCTCTTGCTGTGTCCATTCTATTTCTCTTACTAGGCAAGGAATTCCCAGTGCCAGGGGCTGTGCTGAATATCCAGGGTGGTCCCACAGCCTGTCTATCCCCAGAGGCCGACATGGGTAAGCATATGGTATGGTTGTGGGATGACTGGATGACATTTTATCCTGTCTCTAATTTCTTTGAAAATCAGAAAGGAGCATGTGGTTCTTGTCATTTCTTTAAGAATGGACCTCATTTGAATTGGTAGAGAGCCCCAGTGTGGGCGAGATAACCCTGTGAGGATAGCCCTTAATGAGCCACTTCAATAAACATTGTATTCTCCATTGACATCTTAGCCTGGACGAAAATCATTCTTCCCTTTGCCAAATGGTGAGTGCACCAAATGTGGCTCCTGACAAAGGTGGTGTCCATATCTAGGATTTACAAGCTGTAGCACCAAGCTCCTTGCAAATCCTAGGTATGGCAAACCCTAGGTATGGCTCCTTAGCTTGTTGGTTATGTTGCCAGCTTGCAAATCCTAGGAGCGTGGTGGTTATGTCCCCAGCCTGCAAATCCTAGGTATGGTGAAACACTAGGTATGATGAAAATTCATACCTATTGTTATGGGTTGATGTGTGTCCCCAGAAAGATATGTTGAAGCCCCAAACCCCAGGACCTCAGAATACAATGCTATTTGGAAATAAGTTATTGCAAATATCATTACTTACATTAACATAAGGTCATACTGGAGCAGGGTGGTCCCTAATGCAATGTGACTGCTGTCCGCCTAAGAAGAGGAACATTTGAGCCTGGAAATACACAGGGAGGATGGTTCTGTGAAGACAGAACAAAAATTGGAGTTATGCTGCCTAAACCAAGGAATGTCTGGGCCACCAAAAGCTGGAAGGGGCAAGGAAGAATCCTTCCCTAGAGGCTCTGAAAGGAATAAAGACCTTGATTTGGACTTTTAGCCTTCAGACAGAAGGCTAAAAGAACTATGAGACAATAAATTACTGTTGTTTTAAACCACCCAGTTTTATGGAAGCCCTAGAAAATGAACATATCTAGAAATAAAAATTTAGGGATAAATCCTACCACTGGCTGGATTGACTCTTCTAGGCAACTCATTTAATCCACAAAAAATGAATGAGTAAACAAAGAAGGAAGGACCCATCTGTCTGTAGTTCCCCGTGTCCAATGGGCTGAAAGAAGAGTCACTGCTGAGCGATATTCCTAGGTTGAGAAACTGGAGAATCATGGAGTATGACACAGTCCTCTATAGGAGTGGAACTCATTGCTGCCAGCTCACTGGAGTTTGTTCCCAGAATAGCTTCTCCATCTTTGGCCAAATATCAGAACTCTATGCATATTTGTCCATGTTTGATACTACCCTCCCTGCCCACTCACTTGCCAACTTGGTCCAGTCTGGTCTCAACCTCCATCATGCTTCCAGCTCATTCAAATCATTATTCCAAAGCACATTTTTGGTCATCTTCTTACTTGACGTTTTAACATCATTAACCACAACCACCTTCTCGAAGCCCTCTCTTTCCTGGGCTTCCTTACCTGTCTAAGCATTCTTCTATGATGTCTTCAGACCTTGTTCTTAAATGTTGAGCTCCTTGGCTTAATCCCTGGGTCTCTTTTCATCTTCCTACTAGGTCATCTCCTCCACACCCCTGACTCCAGGAGCCATCTACACATGACAAGTCCTCAGGTTTCGAGACCCATTTGTTCAGCTACTCATGTGACACCTCCACTGGGGTGCCACAAAAGCTCCTCAAACTCAACATATGCAACACCAGACTCAGCAATGTTTTCCTTAACTCTGGTCTTCCTTGGGGGTTTACTACCTCAGTGAATGTCTTCATCATCCATTTAAATTTGAAAGCCTTAAACCTTAAGTTCATTTCCAATATCTTTGCTTACTTCCTTCTCTCCATTTTTTTCATACAGTCGGAAAGTGTCATTATCTTGATCTCTCTCTCTCTTTTTTTTTTTTTTGTGAGACAGGGTCTCACTCTGTTCCTTAGGCTGGAGTGCGGTGGTGCCATCATAGCTAACTGCTACCTTGATCTCCCGGGCTTAAATGATCCTTCCACCTCAGCCTCCCAAGTAGCTGGGACTACAGGCATGCACCACTGAACATGGCTAATTTTTTTTTCTTTATTTGTTTCATGTAGAGACAGGGCCTCACTATGTTGCCGAGGCTGGTCTCAAACTCCTGGGCTCAAGCAATTCTCTTACCTTGGCCTCCCAAAGTGCTGGGATTATAAGCATGAGCCACTGCACCTGGCCTTGACTTCTTTCTTATCTCTGGAATTTGCCTTCTTACCTCTAACTTCCCTACCATCACTTCTATTCAAATTATTTTTACCCATCTCCTGCCCTCCCACCTCCAAATCCATTTTGTACGTAATTAGCCAGAGCGATCTCTTAAGAACACAGATATTTTCAAGTCACTCCTCTGCCCAACTCCCTTCAGTGATGGTTCATGTTTAGAGTAGCATCAAATTCTTTACATATCCTATGAGACCTTCCTAATCTGTCCTCTTAAGCTCATCCAGTTTCCTTCCACCTCTCTGCTTTTCTTCCCAATGCTGGCTTCCTTATGGTGTCAAATGGCTGCACAGGTCTTTTAGGCTTTATATCCACCTAGCAGTCTGTCCAGCAGGAGAGTGATAGTGGCTTTTAGTAGCTCCCTTAAAAAAGTATTGACCGGCTGGGCACGGTGGCTCACACCTGTAATCCCAGCACTTTGGGAGGCTGAGGTGAGCGGATCACAAGGTCAGGAGTTCGAGACCAGCCTGACTAACATGGTGAAACTCTGTCTTTACTAAAAATAGAATAATTAGGCTACTCAGTGTGCCTTTAATCCCAGCTACTCAGGAGGCTGAGACAGGAGAATCACTTGAACCTGGGAGACGGAGTTTGCAGTGAGCGGAGATCACGCCAATGCACTCCAGCCTGGGCAACAGAGTGAGAGTCCGTCTCAAAAAAAAAAAAAAAGAGTATTGACTTCAGTCTCCTCTTCTCCTTCTCAAGAAACTATGGCAAATCTCCCTTTAGGTCTCGTTGGCATGTATCGCCAATTCCTGAACGAATACCCTGGCTGAGGAAAAGTCATGAATCATTTACATTGGGCCTAAATTATCTGAATGAATGGCCGGTGCATGGAGAATAAGGTTAGCCTGATTGAATTAAAAATAACCAGCATCCACTCCTGGACTGAGGGATAAGGTGAATCCCTTTTCTCTTCCTCTATCACCACACACAAAACTCAACCACCTGGTTTCTCCAGCCTTGTGGATGGGGTAGAAGGAATGGTGGGGAAGTCACAGTGTTCAGTGCTCCTGGACTGACATCCTTCTCCTTTTTATCTGGGTAACTCCTACTCATTGTTCAAAATTCAGCACATTGCTTACTCAGGGAAATCTTCCCTGAACTATTCTCAACCCTCCCACCCATCACCAGTTACACACTGGACCTCTGTTATATACTGACAGACCTCCCTGATCTGCCCCTTTGCAATACCTACCACCACTGTTGTGGGTAATTGATTGTGAAATTACTGTGATGTCTGTATTTCCCCCACCCACATCATGGAATGCAAGCTCGGAGAGGGCAGGGCCTCTCCTGCCTTTTTCATGGCTGTGCCTTTAGCTTGCAGCATTTGAAACATCATAGGTGCTCATTAAAAAAGCATTGAAAAACCAATCAAAGCAATATATAAAATCTATAGATTATCGAAATGTATAAACAGCAAACCCTTCCCTTGTCATGTCTCTAGCCTAGTCATCAATGACAACAATGTCCTCAAATTTATTCCAGTCCTTTTATTCTGTGAATATTTATTTTTGCATGATTGGGCTTATAACGCATACATAATTTTTTATTCTGGGGCCGGGCAAGGTGGCTCATGCTTGTAATTCCAGCACTTTGGGAGGCAGAGGCAGGCAGATCACCTGAGGTCAGGAGTTCGAGACCAACCTGGCCAGAATGATAACACCTGGTCTCTACTAAAAATACAAAAATCAGCTGGGCTTGGTGGTGGGCACCTGTAATCCCAGCTACTCGGGAGGCTGAGGCAGGAGAATAGCTTGAACCTGGGAGGCAGAGGTTACAGTGAGCCTAGATTGCACCATTGCCCTCTAGCCTGGGAGAAAAGAGTGAAATTCCATTTCAAACAACAACAACAAAAATTTTGTATTCTGGGTTTTTAAAAATTGACATCATTAACGCTGATATATTTACAGAACACTGATATATTTACAGAACCATTAATGGACTTATGCAATCTCCTTTCAATTTATGTGTGTGTGTATTTTTGCTCATAAAAAACACTGCAATGAACATCTTTTTGCATAATACCATGTCTGTATTTCAGGCTGGGAATATTCTCGAAGTGGAATTATAAGAACAAAGGACATAATGTATTTTAAACTTTTTCTGTATAAGACACCAGTCGTGCTACTGGGGCATGAAGCACATGCTGTATTTTAAGCCAGAGCATGAACCCAAGATCTATTTGCAAAGCAAATTTAAACCGTCCTTCAAGAGTAATATCTATTTTTAACCTCTGTCTAAGAGTAATCATGATATTCTAAAAAATCCTTTGTATTTGGTTACTATCAAATTCATTACCAGATTATGCAAATCTGAGATTATTCATTTTGATATTCACTGGGACTATTGGAAGATGTATTACACTAACTGATTATAACAATGCTAAAAATATAGTTTTTTTGCTTCTGTCTTTTAAGAAATGATTTCTCTTTTTCCTTGCCACTTGCAAACCCCAATACTTCCTCACTCTTCCTTTTATTTTTTTCTCTCTTCCTTTTCTTCCATCCACTGTGACAAAGTGTGGACCCCCAAGGGCCAAAGACATTTGGTTGCGTTCTGACTAACAGAAAGTTTGGTATTATTTCACAAAAGAGATACAAATAGATCTTTACTGTAAAACAGATTAGCATTCTGTGGGGCTCTGGATGACAGCTTTCTTTTTTTCCCTTTGCTTTTCCTTTCCATCCCCAGCAAAGTGAACCCACAAAATTGTCCTCTGCTTCATTCTCATCTCTTCCCAGCAGAGCTGCAGGACTTGTAGTTGCATGCAGAATAATTATTTTGCCCAGTAAAATTTCCAAAAGATGCATCCTCCATATTGCAGAAAAGTCATTCATCTACTCATTCTTTCCGGAATGTTTAGTATGTGTGTGTTATCAGCCAGGGCCCATGCCTGGCACTGGAGAGACGGATAGGAAAGATCAGTCCCTACCCTCAGGGAGCCTGCAACCTTGTGGGAAGTGGGTAAGGCTCATAGTTAAGAATTACCTCAAATGAGGCAGCATGCTGTCAGAGGGCTGACAGCAGGGTGAGAGGAGGAGGAGGAGGCTCCTGCGGAAGGTCCCCGAGGCTGCGCCATACACAGAGACAGTAATGCATTCCTGTTCTTTGATATCTGGCCACATGCATTTCTGTGCCACACTGTTGGTGGCACACATCCTTACCACTTCATTCAGAAGCCCAGCTCCGAGTTCTCTGATCAAAACTTTGCAGCGTACACTTGAAGGAGCACAGGTTTGGAGCCAGAAAGTTGTGGGTTGGAAGTTCAGCTCTGCCGTTTTCTTGCCCTGTGATCTCAAACAATTAATTAAATTCTTAGTGCCTCAGTTTCCCCCTCTGTAAAATGGGACTAAGGAGGCTGATGCATACAGAGCACTTTGCACTGTGCCTGGAACCTGAAGCCCTCATTATGGGACATGATCACAATGCTGCTTAGTGTAATCGTGCCATGTTGTACCCTGGGCTGCTTTTCAAAGGCTGCGTGTCTGCGAACACTGCCAAAGGGCTGGAGGGGCAACACGTAAACCCCGCCCTCTGTGAACCGGTGGCCTCTCTGGCCACGGAAGCAGACAGGTCATTTAAAAAATGTAATTTTCGCATTGACATTCTTCATGCTAAGTCCGAGGGCAGGCATGTCCCTTCTGCTCAGGGAGAGCTCGGGGCAGTAACCCAGAAAGAAGAGGCAGCCCTCACTTTGCCATTCTGCGCCTGGGCTGCTGACAAAAGAATTGTGCAAATGAACCTTTAAATCCGTAAATAGTGCCCCCACAATGCCGGGAAGAATGCAGCGGCGACAAAGGGCAATATTCACAGTTTATCTCAGGGTGATGGATCTGAATGGACGCATGAACACGGGTTTGTTAGAGAAAGAGCCGGCCACAGCCCCCCGCCGGGAACCCAGTGGCCGCAGTCTGCAGTGCAAACAGTCAGTCTAAATCCTGAACAATTAGGGGAAACCAAGCTGCCATTATCTGAACTTCAACTTGTTCTCATGATTGATATGGGAAATGAAAAGTTGTACACGGCTCGGGGACGGCTCTCCTCGCCCTCACTGCACGCGGGGCCTCGGAGAAGGTGCATAATGTATATTTCATACACACGACATTAGTGGCCTGTGTGCCACCCAGGTTAGCACAGGGATGAGGGCAGCTCTGAGCATCAGATTGTCCCCAGGTCATTTTCTTTGTATGGTACTGGTCTCTGACCAGTCAAATTTCCCTCTTCTATCTGAGTTTTCTGAAAAAAAATCTCACCTGATAACCTCAGTAAAAACTATCAAACTTTGTTCTTGGATGAGACAGGAGTATTTCTTTGTAAGCGAAAACTGCATTAGATATTAGCTTGGCCTCACATTAGATACGGCCTTGGTCCAGTCAGCTAATCTGTCTGCACCTCGGTTTTGTCAGCTATAAAATGGGGATGGAGCCTACTCCTCATAGACATATGTGACTTAATTAGTTTGGCCCCTGGCAAATGCTGGGTACTCAATAGAAAAAAAGAGCCATATTCCCTCATCCAGTATCTTAGAGACTGAGCATTTTCTAAGCACCAAGCACTGCTGGGTGACGAGGGTGGAGCAACTCTGCTTTTGCAGGGCACGCACTGGGGCTTCTGAGCAAGAAGAGACAGACCGGCGCTCCACAGACTGTTGTAAGCTTTTCGGTGTCAGGGGCTGTGGCTTAGTCACTGTGGAGTCTCTAATTTCTGGGCTCAGAGGAGCAGCTTGATCAAGTGCTTGTTTAATGGAAGTGAGGCATGTGCTGTGGGGCAGAGGTGTGGTGCAAGCTGAATGAAGCCTTCCCATGGGCCTTGAAGGATGTTGGGATTTGAGAGGTTGATATGCAGGAGAGGACATTATTCCAAGCTGAAGCCACAGCACCACGAAGCTGGGAAACTGTGCTGCAGAGAATCCTTTGGCTGGAGTGTGGGGTTCGTGGAAGGGAAAGATAGGAGTTGAGGCTGGAAAAACAGGCCAATCATCGGGGGTCTAGAAAGCGAAGATGAAGAGTTTGCCTTTCACCCTGTAAGCAATAGGGAGAGATGAAATGTTCTGGAGCAAGGGAGTGCCATTTGACTCAAGCTGGCTTGCCTGGGGGCAGTGCAGTGGGGCGGGAGTGGCCTGCAAAAGGCAGGGTCAGCAAGGTCTGTGACTCATGGATGTGGGGAGAGAGAGGTCAAAGGTGACTAAGGTTGTGCGCCTTTGGTTCCTTCTGCACCAATTCATTAATTAATGAAACTCCTCTTACTCCTTTCCATCAGAAAGGAATGTGAGCATTCCACACACTAGCTCTTCAGTTGCCAGGAAATTATATAATCAATCCATTAATTAATCACACACACACATATACTTTCAGGGTGGGAAGCCGAGGGTATGTACTTTTCATTATCATTCAATTTTTGCAGCAGACTCATGCAGGAATCACTCTCGCTTACATTTCACAGAGAGGGGAAACTGAGGCCCTGCTATTCTCACTTCTGTTTTCGCAGATAGGTAAACTGAGGCCTGGGATAATTAAATGACTGATCGGCCCAAGCCTGAGCTGGGATTTGAACCAGGTTCTGTGTGATGACAAAGCCATTCACTGTGCTTTACGCTAAAGCGCCTCTGGTGAGGCTGGCCTGGAGGCATGCATAGATTGCACAAAAAGACCTGCACTGGGGCCACCACAGCTGAAACAGAGACTTCCAAGAACCCTCTTCAAAGCAGCCAGAGGCATTCAGCACTGCTCGGCATTCAGGCTGGAAGTATTTCCCCATTGTCTCCACCATCAGAGGTAAGTGACATCTTGAACGCCTCAAGAAGATTAAATAGCCCGGCTCCGTCGGAAAGCTTAAAAAAAAAAAAGACTGAGAGGGAGAGAGAGAGAGAAGAAAGGGGCCAAGTTGGCCATTATGGAGCTGGTCCTTTTTTGTCGGTGAAAGCGCTTTCAAGGAGCACCATTGGAAGAAGCGGCCCAGATAAGAAGACAATGACAGGAGCGGGAGAACTCCGAGAGGAACCCGGGGCTGGGCGCCGTGAATGCGGATTACTGCGGCTGGGGGCCGCCAAAGAAAAGGGGAATCCTGGTCAGGATGAAAATGAGGAATTACTTTTTTTCCCTTCCCCTCTGAGACTCCAGTTCACTGCGCAGCAACAATGCATGATGGGGGGCACTTGACATGCCCCTCTTCCAGGCCATGTTGGCGCCCCATGTGGGGCTCCCGGGGAACAAGGGCGGTGCAAACCCAAACAAAGCCGATTTTAACCCAATAAACTCACCCCACATTCTCCAATAGAAACGATGAAAGCTTGGGCTGCTGAATATCTGCCACTACCCAAACACACGGGACAAATAAGAAGTTTGGATTTGCAGATGTTTGAACATATGTAAACTTCATCTTCTATAAAATAATTCCTTCCTTCCTTCCTTCTTTCCTTTTAAAGTTTATTTACTTCCGTTTTTTTCTTTCTTTTCTCTCTCTCTCTTTTTTTCTTTCTTTCTAGGCTTTTGATGAGAGGAATACCAGGGGCTTTGGCAGCACTATTTGCAACTTTCTTGAAACAGCTTGTAGAATTCTAGTAGGTGATTAAGGTGGGATCCCCTGAGCAGGAAGAGATCGAATTTGCTCACTTCCTGGGAACATATGAAAAACCATACACTTTTAAAATGTAGTTTGTCTGAAGCTACCTCTGAATCAAGACCTTGTACACTCAACATGTACTTACGTCCAAAGAGATGAGGTGGTGAGAGAGCGTTAGACTCTGTCAGGGGCTCTGGGTTCAAGTCTGCCAACAACTTCCTGGTGGTTTTGGAAGAATCACTTTGATACTCAGTTTCAGGTCTCCTACACGGCCTTGAGTGCCTTGTTTCCCGGATAATGTAGTTAGTTGACACCTTGTGGATGACGCAGTTCACACAATGGATTTTCTACATCTCCATCTTGTATGGCATACAGTAGGTGCTTCATAAATACACGTGTGAATGAATTCTGCTTGATCCTGCCTCCCCACAAGAAAACTGAGTAAAATAATCATTGCAAAATTGGTTTTCAAACTGTAAGTGCATTTTTTCAAATGTGAGATATAATGTTTATTTTTCTATTTTTATGTGAAAGTAATTTTAAAAATATTTAGTAATGAGGATTTATAGAGCCCAAGTCCTTGTATGAAATTGAGCCCAGTGAAAATTAAAAGTAATTTTCATTTACAGAGTCATTAATCGTTTTAAAATCTCATACTATCTTAAATATAAGCACGTGGCAGGTGTTGAAATAAGAAATGCAGTGGCAACCTAAGTGATGAACGTGGGAAATCCTCATCTCTCTACAGACCTATGCAGGTATACAGGCATTTGGTGTCTCATGCATCCCGGAATAATATCAGCTTTTATATCTAGTTTTCACTTGTCTTTTTAAATTTGGATTATCGGCTGGGCGCGGTGGCTCATGCCTGTAATCCCAGCACTTTGGGAAGCCAAGGCGGGCAGATCACCTGAGGTCGGGAGTTCAAGACCAGCCTGACCAACATGGAGAAACCCCATCTCTAATAAAAATACAAAATTAGCCGGTGTGGTGGCGCATGCCTGTAATCCCAGCTACTGGGGAGGCTGAGGCAGAAGAATCGCTTGAACCCGGGAGGCAGAGGTTGCGGTGAGCCGAGATCACGCCATCGCACTCTAGCCTGGGCAACAAGAGCGAAACTTTGTCTCAAAATAAATAAATAATAAACAAATAAATAAATTTGGATTATTCTTTTTTTTTTCTTCCCTGCTCTTCCCTTTCCTCCTCTTCCTTTCCCTTCCTGCTCCTTTCTCATTTCCTCCCTCCTTTCCTTCTTTAACTGTTAGAATTAGAGCCCGCATGCCTATCAGTATTTAAGATCATGGAGGAAAGACAGTTGGGCAACTTCATGTGAAGCACGTTTCCCTCACTTCAGAATCCCTCCCTCTTGGAAGTGAACACAAGGACTTGGATGGTTCAGCTTCACTCTGAGGGTCTCTTGCCAGGAATGTCTGTCCTTCCCAGGTAGAGGAGAACAGCCTCACAGCTGCTCCGGGAGGCCCTGGATTTGCTCTCACAGGAATTCAAGGCTGGGATCCTCCTGAAACAGGCAACCATGTGGCTAGGGGAAGGGGAAATGAGCTGTATCAGAACCAGCATCTCATTGCACCCCTCTAGCTGAGGCCCTGAGTGGGAGACCCAGAACTACTTTGGGCTCGGTTTCCTAGGATAAGAATACCAATGCCTCAGGAGAGGACAAGTGAGCTGGTGTTTCTGAAAGCTCTGCGGAGTGCTCACTAAAACAAGAGCGACGTGTGGAACAGGCGGTGTGGCTATCTCATCCTCAGCACAAGTGCTCATGCATGGTGTCTGTGGATCTGAATCTGGCCCCACCACTTAACTAGGTACTGAGTCTCCTGTGCCCCAGTCTCTTCAACTGTGCAGTGAGCTACTAACAGCATTCTCTTCACGACTGCAGGAAGGGTGTAGAGATAACACAAGTAAGGATCTTAGTAGAGTGCCTGGCACCCTCAACATGAATGTTAGTCATTTAAAAAAATTCCTTGACCAAGTAGTAAGGAGGAAAGTGGGAGAAAGGGCAGTATCCAGGAGAGAAGATTAGCTGAAAAAAATGGACTTCTCTCAGTTGAGATCTCCTAAAGAAGACTTTCCCAAGGATGCTCAGGATTTCATTGGCTCTCAAATGCTGCTGCAAGGGGAAATAGAGTATCTCATCTTCCCCGGCTCCCACCCCATGCTCTAGAATTGTAGGTGGAATCACTGAAGAAAGAAGGACTTTGTGCCCATTCCTGACTCAGATGAGGTGGGTCTAGGCTGTACGAGCGTTGGGAGAGGACAAGAAGAGGGAGGATCATCTCTATTAAAATTTTAAAATGTTTCACTAGGTTTGTTTTGAAAATTCCTTTCCCTTTGATATTCAGCATGTTTAGCTGTTGGCTTTCCCTAGGTTAGGCAGTGGAGACAAACACTGCCCCTCCCTAAATCCCAAGAGCTCACACCAGCTAAGACTCATTGCTCACTCATATTTACTGTGGGCAACAGGTTTGCTAGAATTCTACTTTGCTCCATGTATCTTTAAAAAAAAGCTTTCTGTTTTTTTGTTGACCAAATTTTACAATGGTAAAAATATTAATCTTACAACCAGGAGGTATTGAGCACTTGTTATGTAGAAATCAACCTTGAGTTTCAAATGTTGCCGCCACTGGTGAAACTTCTCATGGGAAACTCCTATTACAGTTGATGTTCCAGGTGACATGTTAAATAGCAAGAACCAATCTACTGTGCTTCCAGATTACTATATTTTACACTAAGTACACTACCTACAAATTAAATAAAATGGAAGCAGTTAACTTATAAGATTCATATTTTATACTCTACACTTCTAACATATTATACTAACAATTATAGCCTATCATGTTTCTAATTGAGCCATTGTATAATCTCTTAATAGAATAATACTAAAAAGACACAATAAACACACATTTTTGTGGAGAGAGACAAAAAACATCTTGCAGTTGTCCTGGATCTTCAAAGTGGACACAATGGAAGGTGGATCAACTTGGATGGGGAGCCGCTTCTGTTTCCAGGTGGTGTGGACACAAGATGGAAGCTAGCAGCTGCTGCTGAGGTGTTGCTGGTTGCCATGGGATCCTAGTGCCAGGCCAGAAAGGACCCTTTGTAGAGGAAACTTTGGGGGATCTTTGTCTTTGCTATTAGAAGAAGGGGAAGCACTGGTTGTCCTTATCTGAGGAACTTCTCTCTGGAACCTCATGGAATATCAGAACCCGGCTGCTCCCCTCGCATGTAAGGTGGTTGAATCAAGAGCAGCAGTTGAGCTTCTGCCTGTACAAGGAGCACCATGACAAGCTGAGAACCTGCTTGTTGAGAGACCTCAAAGGGTGGCAAGTGGTCAGCACTGGGCACCAGACCACGTGTTCCACATCACAGCCTGATGCTGTCCTTTACCAGGGATCTCGCCATGGCAAGTAGTGTGTAGTGTGCCCTTGGGCCTCTGCCAAATGCCTCATTGGTAATTTCAAGGATGGAAGGATACTTTTACAGATCTTTACATTCTTGCTCAATCAATTTCTTTCTTTCATTTTTTTTTTTTTTTTTTTTTTGAGATGGAGTCTTGCTCTGTTGCTTAGGCTGGAGGGCAGTAGTGCAATCTCGGCTCACTGCAACCTCCGCCTCCCGGGTTCAAGTGATTCTCATGCATCAACCTCCCCAGTAGCTGGGATTACAAGCATGCACTACCACGCCCAGTTAATTTTTTGTATTTTTAGTAGAGACGGGGTTTTGCCACATTGGCCAGGCTGGTCTTGAACTCCTGACCTCAGATGATCCACCTGCCTCGGCATCCCAAAGTGCTGGGATTACAGATGTGAGCAGCCACACCCGGCCTCAATCGATTCCTTTGTGATATATCTATATTTATTTATTTATTTATTTATTTATTTATTTATTTATTTATTTTTGAGACGGAGTCTCGCTCCTTCACCCAGGCCGGAGTGCAGTGGCGGGATCTCGGCTCACTGCAAGCTCCGCCTCCCGGGTTCACGCCATTCTCCTGCTTCAGCCTCCCGAGTAGCTGGGACTACAGGCGCCCGCCACTGCGCCCGGCTAATTTTTTGTATTTTTAGTAGAGACGGGGTTTCATCGTGTTAGCCAGGATGGTCTCTATCTCCTGACCTTGTGATCCGCCCGCCTCGGCCTTCCAAAGTGCTGGGATAACAGGCGTGAGCCACCGCGCCTGGCCTATTTTCTTTTCTTATGTTATTGTGGTTTTTCAGCTAACAAAGCTCTCATCCCAAAATCATGAACTTTTCTTTCTTGGGAAATAAGAAGGTTTTCATAATAGTTATTCTTCCAAATTTTTCTGAAATAATGTTGGCTTGAATTTTATAGGTACATAACTCTTCAGATGCATTCTAATGTTTTCTTCTGCATTGGAAAGATTCTTTTTTATTTTTACAGGGCAAATTCTCTATAGATTGGATATGGGGTAAACATTTCTTTTTCTCAATGAGATTTAGAAAGAAACAGATGTTTTTGCAGGAGCTTTTGTGACTCCTTTTCTGACTGTTTACTGGCTGCACTGAAGCTTTCTTGGTTTGGGACTTTGCATGTGCTCTTTAAGTGCATTGATTATTTTGGTTTCTTTAGTTAATTTCATGTACATTTTGTTTATTTTGTTTTGCAGAGTTTAAAAATAAGTATATATACTCCACCCCATAAATTAGTTCCTTCGAAACACTTCTGGAATTATCTTGTAAGAGATCACCATTAGATGCCATTCATATATTCAATTCCAGGTTCTCATGATCTGTGTTGTCTTGCTCAAGAACAGCAGCCCATTTGTTTATCACTAGCAAGTGTTCACTTAGAATCTTGACATGATTCTTTTTGTTAAGAACTTGCTCCACAGGCAGTCTAGAGATTTTTTTAAATTAAATTTTTTTTTTTTAAATTTTTTGGGAGACAAGTTCTCACTCTGCTGCCCAGGTTGGAGTGCAGTGGCATGATTGCAGCTCACTTCAGCTTTGACATCCCAGGCTTAAGTGATTCCCCGACCTCAGCCTCCCAGGCAGCTGGGACCACAGGTGTGTACCACCACTCCTGGCTAATTTTTCTATTTTTTGTAGAGTTTAGATCTTGCCATGTTGCCCAGCCTGGTCTTAAACTCCCGAGATCAGGTGATCCTCCCACTTTGGCCTCCCAAAGTGCTGGGATTATAGGCTTGAGCCACCGCTCCCAGCCCAGTCTAGAGTTTTCCGAGATTTTTTTTTCTCTTTAGTAACTTTGTTCACTCCATTTTTGAGATTCTTGTGAAAGCAGCTTCATGCGTCTTTGAAGACTGGAATTTTCCTCCAAAGTCTCTGTTAGTGCTCCTGAAGCTGTTCTCCATACTTCTGAGGGATTTTGAAGAATGTTTTGCTTGTAGCCACTTGTTAGATTTGCTTAGTTGAGTCTTCTAAGGACTGGGACTTGCTTGTAATCTCAGTCATCAGCTGAACTTCCTGTAAACATGTAGATTTCTGTTCTTTTTCATGTTTCTCTGTAATAATCTATTCTAAGACCAAGTAGAGAGTTAGAGCTTTCCAACTCTTTATTCGTGGTTTTCACATTTGCTATTTATGATAGTTTGTTCTTGAGTCTGACATCTAGGATAGTGGATTTAAGGTCTCCAAATTCTCTTGCAATGTGGCAAAACCTTTCAAAAATATGATGCCTTTCTTTTGAAAGGACAGAGACTCCAGTGGCCAGTTCTTTGTCTCCCCTAGCATAGAAACTCAAAGTTTTAAGCATAGGAACTCCCACTATGATGATAAAAGCTGTCATCTCCCATACAGCCTCCTTGGGGATGCTGCATTGTCTGGCATAGAGTCTCCAGGCCAAGCATCACACAGAGGATCAAGGCCAAAGAGGATCCTCTGGGGCTCTCAAGATCTCTGCCATATCTCCTCCGGTTGCCAGGACCCTGCTGGCCATAACAGATGTCAGAGCTAGCTCCATGGTGAGCACACTGTGCAGGACCCCCTCAGTCCTGGCACTAGGGATGACTTCAGTGGAGGTGAGGGAGGAGACACGAAAAACAGTGTCCCCCGCCTTCCCATATCCTGACTCACAGGACAGTGATCATATCACATGACCTTAGGGATACATTCTAGGTTTGGCAGGCCAGAGGGAATGGCAGGTGGCTCCAGCCATCTTTGGCCTTTGGCTCTGAGAAATAAAAAAAGACTGATATGTTTTCACACCAGTAATCATTCTGGGTCTTCACTGCTCCTCTTTCTCATCTCTCCTTTTTAAAATTGAGATGACATTCTATAATATATGGCCAGGTGCAGTGGCTCACATCTGTAATCCCAGCATTTTGGGAGTCTGAGGTGGGAGAACCTTCAGGCCAGGAGTTCAAGACCAACCTGGGCAACATAGTGAGACCCTGTCTCTACATAAAAAAAATAAAAAATAAAAAAAGACATTTATATAACATAATGTTATATTATATATATGTTAAATATTAAAGTGAACAATGTAGTGGCATTTAATACATTCACGGTGCTGTACAACCACCACCTCCATCTAGTTGGAGAACATTTTCATCATAACAAAAGAAAAACCCCAAACCCATTAATAGTTGATCCCTATTCCCCTCTTCCCTCACCCCCTGGCAGCCACTGATCTGTGATCTGTCTCTGTGGATTTCCCTATTCTGAATATTTCACATAAAAGAAATCATACAATACATGATCTTCTGTGTTTGGCTTCTTTCATTTAACATTAGTTTTGAGATTCATTCACTTTGTAGCCCATATCAGCACTTCCTTTCTTTTATGGCTAAATAATACTCCATTACATGTGTATTATTTGTTTATCCATCCATTCATTGGTGAACATACCTGCTGTTTCTACCTTTTGGCTATTCTAAATAGTGCTGCTATAAGCATGTGTGTATATGTATTTGTTTTAGTACTAGTTTTTAATATTTGGACCAGGGATGTCCTGGTGGAACTGCTGGGTCATAGGATAATTCTACATTAATTTTTTTGAGGAATCACAAAATTATTTTTCACAGTGGCTATATCAGTTTATAACTTCACCAGCAATATACCAGTGTTCCAATCTTTCCACATCTTTACTAACACTTTCTATTTTTTATTTTACTTATTTTTTTTTTTGAGAAGGAATTTCACTCTTGTTGCCCAAGTTGGAGTGCAATGGCGCGATCTCAGCTCACTGCAACCTCCGCCTCCCAGGTTCAAACGATTCTCCTGCTTCACTCTCCCCAGTAGCTGGGATTACAGGCTGCACCACCACACCTGGCTAATTTTTTTTGTATTTTTAATAGAGACGAGGTGTCACCATGTTGGACAGGCTGGTCTCGAACTCCTGACCTCAGGTGATCTGCCCACCTCAGCCTCCCAAAGTGCTGGGATTACAAGCATGAGCCACCACTCCCAGGCTTTATTTTCTATTTTTTAATTACAGCCATCCTAGTGAATGTGAAGTAGTATCTCACTGAGGTTTTGATTTGCATTTTTCTATGACAATGAACAATGTTTCATGTGCTTGTTGGCTGTTTGTATATCCTTTTTGGAGAAATACCAATTCATGTCCTTTGCCCATTTTTAAAGTGGATTGCATGTCTTTTTGTTGTTTAGTTGTAAAGATGTGGGTTTTTCTTTTGAGACGGAGTCTCGCTGTCGCCTAGGCTGGAGTGCAGAGGCATGATCTCGGCTGACTGCAATCCCCACCTCCTGGCATCAAGAAGTTCTCCTGCCTCAGCCTTCCAAGTAGCTGGGTTTACAGATGCCCACCACCATGCCTGGCTGGTTTTTGTATTTTTAGTAGACACGGGGTTTTACCATGTTGGCCGGGCTGGTCTGGAACTCCTAACCTTAAGTGATCTACCTGTCTCTGCCTCTCAAAGTGCTGGGATTGCAGGCATAAGCCGCCATGCCCGGCCCAAAGTTTCTTTATATGTGCTGGATACTAGGCCCGTAACAGATATACAATTTGTAAATATTTTCTCTCATTTTGAAGATTTTCTTTTCACTTTCTTGATAATGTCCTTTGTGTATTTTTTGATAATGTCCTTTGATACACAAAAGTTTTTAAGTTTGATGAAGTTCAATTTACCTATTATTTTCTTTTGTTGTTCATTCATTTTGTGTCCTATGTAGGAATCTATTGCCAAATTCAAGGTGATAAAGATTTACCCCTATGTTTCCTTCTAAGAGTTTTATTGTTTTAGCCCTGATATTTAGCTAAACTTAATTGATTTATTAAGTTTAATTTTCCTATGTGGTATGAAGTCATTTATCTTCTTTAGTTCAGGATCCAAGTGAAAGGGGCATCTTCTATCTGGGACATGCCATTCTCATGACAGAGGAAAAAGACAAAAAACTGACACATACAATGACTTTAAAACTTCACTCAGAGGTGGTATATAGTGTATCTGCTCTCACTGCACTGGCAAAGTCTGAGGTCAATGAGGCATTGGCTATTCTCCTCCCTAAGGGAATTATTGAAACCCCCCCAGGCAATGGCAAGAATGAAACATCTCTTACAGGGGAGAGAGAAACAGATATTTGGGAACAATAATAAAATCTACTATAGATGCCCTAGAAATTATAAAACATGGATCAGAAAACTAGAATTCAGAGTACAAATATCTACAGGGAACTTTTGAACATTGCACATCTAGCTCTATAATCCATTTTCTGAAACTGCTGGGGTCAGATGGCTTCGTAGTTCAATTTTTTTTTTTATTTTTAGAAGAGAAATATAGTCCATACGTATAATATACCGTATAACACTCCCAGCGGGATCCAGGCCAGTATCTTGTAATTAATACATTATTATTTTTTGCAGTAAAACAGACAACTCTCTACTAAGTAAAATTTTGCTGCTAAAATTGTAAAAGTACATTTAGATCAAGTCAGATCTTGCTGCCAAATAAGCTTAAAAAGCAACAAAAAAAATTCTTCTTCCCCTGATTTTTTTTTTTTTTTTGGACAGAGCCTCACCTGTTGCCTAGGCTGGAGTACAGTGGTGCGAGGCTGGAGTACAGTGGTGCGAGCATGGCTCATTGCAGCCTTGACCTACTGGGCTAAAGAGACCCTGCTCCCTCATGCTCCTGTGTAACTGGGACCACAGGCATGTGCCACCACGCCTGGCTAATTTTTTGTTTTGGTGGAGATTGGTGGTGGTGGGAGGGGTTTGTCTCACTATCTTGTCTAAGCTGGTCTTGAACTCCTGGGCCCAAGGGATCCTCCTGCCTTGGCCTTCCAAAATGCTGGGGTTACATTCTCCTCTTTTTTTTTTTTTTTTTTTTTTTTGAGACAAGGTCTCGCTCTGTCACTCAGGCTGGAATGCAGTGGCATGATCAAGGCTCCCTGCAGACTTGACCTCGTGGGCTCAACTGATCCTCCCACCTCAGCCTCCCCAGTAGTTTGGACTAGAAACGGGTTTTCATCATGTTGCGCAGGCTGATCTCAAGCTCTTGGGCTCAAGCGATATGCATGCTTCCACCTCCCAAAGTACTGGGATTACAAGGTCTCCAGCTTTTTACTATTTATTTATTTATTTATTTATTTATTTTGACAGAGTCTTGCTCTGTTGCCCAGGCTGGAGTGCAGTGGCATGATGTCAGCTCACTGCAACCTCTGCCTCCCAGGTTCAAGTGATTCTCCTGCCTCAGCCTCCCGAGTAGCTGGGATTACAAGCATGTACCACCACGCCCAGCTAATTTTTGTATTTTTAGTAGAGACAGGGTTTCACCATGTTGGCCAGGCTGGTCTTGAAATGCTGACTTCAAGTGACCCGCCCTTCTCAGGCCCCCAAAGTGCTGGGATTACAGGCATGAGCCACCTCGCCCGGCCTCCTGCTTTTTTAAAGGGCTTTTTGGACTTCAAATTGTACGTGAGGAATTGTCGGCTTGTATTTTGGAGAGCCAGGCACATTTCTTAAAATAATTTAGGAGAACCAATCAACAACCACATACCTTCTTTTTTCTAGATGGTAATCAGACAAAACTTCTTCTAGATAGCTGAATGACTTATAAGACATCCTTTTTTTGTCAGGTACTATTTGTCAGCAGTTGGACATTTTAGGTGGCCCTGTGTTTCTACCCTGCACAAAGCTCTCTGTAAGGGGTCTTTGGGGAAGACCAAGAAGCATGTGGCCTGCTCCTTGTCCTCACTCATGACCTGCTTGGTGAGAGCAGATAGTGACAAGCAAGGTTGTTTTATGGCACGTGGGTGGGTAGCTGGGGCTATGAGAAAACTTCAGATGGGTGAAGGCTGATCAGGGAAGGTTCCTGGAGGAGGGCAGAGAGGCTCTCTGAGCATTCCAGGTGGGGAGAAACCCCTGGAGAAAAAGTCTGGAAGCAGGAGGACCCAGGCAGGCACCTGCAGGGAGGCTGAGGCTGTGGAGTGGAGAAGCTCCAGTGCTGCCAGCCTGGCTCAGGAGCCTGTTTGTCTGTTTTCAATGTTTATGGGATAGAACAGCTTCTTTACAGTGATCTCTTTTTAATGGAGTTATTATAGAGCAAAAGACGTGTTTACCGGAAAGTTTAATTAAAATGTACTTCCTTGGGAATTATGTCCCAGGAGCAAATGAGTTTAAGCAGGTCACTTGGCACACACCCGTCCGGAGGTGCTGATCTCATTCCGGACTCCAGGGAGAGGTGTGGGAGGGGGTCTGAGCAAGGCAGGAGAGGAAGTGAGGTGGGGGCAGGGGAGGCAGCGAAGGGCAAGTGTGTTTGCTGTTCCTGTAGGAGCTTGTCTCGGGCAGACTTTCCAGGCTGTGGGGAAGCAATTGCTCCTCCTGCCTGGGAGCCAGCCTTCTGCAAGGGGCTTGAGACACAGTAGACAGCTGCTTCTGTGATCTCCAAGTGAATTTTCCAGACAAATGATTCCTGCCTGCCTGATGATAAGTCAGGCTCTTCCACCTTGTTACCTAGGGTACCTTCTTCAGCCCTGCAGGGGCCTTTGAAATTTGAAAATTGCTACTAAAGCTGTCAAAGAGTTCACTCTGGTGGAGGATGAGATGAGAAAGACAAGACAGCCCCAGCAAATGAATCCATCAGCAGGGCCTTGCTGGGTGTGAAGAGGTCCTTGGTCCTAACCAAGGTACAAGGAGATATAAGGCACAGCTTTTGCCCTTGATTCTCTCTCTTGTTGGAAAAGCAAGAAGGTCTAGAAACATTTATTAAGTCCTCAACATGGTCTGGCCCTCTTCAGCATGATAGTGGTCTAAACCCCAAAATAACTGCCAAACGATTGGTTTAGCATCCGTGGTGCCATTTTGGAGAATTCTGAACAAGGCACGATGGGTGCAAAGTGATGGGGTTGGCGAGTGGTGGGTCTGAGCCTGGATCTCGGGTTCTTTGATGTGAGTTTGCACCATGATCTCCCAGCAGGATTTCCAAATGGGAACTGAGGCACAGGAAACATGTTTCCTTACTTGGATGTTTTTAGGCTTTACATACTCTGTTTTTCCTGCAGAAAGTCCTCCCCTGCCTTCTCTTTCTAAGGACTCGTGGACAAAGGCCCGCCTTCCAGAAGAATTCTGCAAAGACTTCCAGACAGTGTAGGAGACCTGCTCACACCACATCCCAGCTGCACACACTCCTGTTCATTTTCCTTTATTTGTTGTCACTGCCACTAATCTGATCTTTCCAAGAGCACTGCAGGCATGCTGCCCAGTGCCTGGCATAGAGAGGTGCTCAGGAACTTGCCAGTTGAGGTGGCCTTCCGGGCACTCTGTTGCTGTGGATCACTGTCTATTGGTGATCAGTGGCAGGCCTTGGACTCCAGCCTGTCTGAGGTTGTTCCCAGGTGTCAGCGTCTGCAGGACCCTGATTCTCGCACGTAGCTGCCATGGCCGGGAAGCCAGGCGTGGTCTGGCTGAAGACACTCGGTCTGTGTTCTGAATGTCGGCATTCCTGATGACGGAGGACGCTTCAGGCTTCTCTCTCATGTTGTGGTCTGAGAGAAGGGAGAAGGGAGAGTACTCTTGGGGTCTGGGGTAGGGTAGAACTCAGGCCAAGGAGAATCTCAGGCAGGGCTAGCAGAGATGGGAGCTCTTTTGTGGAGGGCTGGGACCGAAGGGAACAATGCTGGGGGCAGTTGGGCAGCAAGAGAAGCACCATCCAGATGGGGCCCAGGACAGCCACAGGGCAGGTTGACAATTCTGACCAGGAGTGGGTAGAGTCCCAGCGCTCCACCCCCTTGTCCCAGTCAGAGTCCTCCCTGGCCTCTGAGAGCTTCCTGTCTAGTTCTCCCATACCAGGATCACGCCTGCTGCAGATGTGGTTGCCAGAGGCCTCTTCTGAAATTGCAGAACGTGCCATTCTCCTGCTGAAATCCCCTGACAGCGCCGTGGTCTGCGGATGTGGTGGGGTCTCAAGGTGGAATAACAACAAATCCTGCCGGGGAAGGCGCTTTTGAGTAGGCCACGTGCAGGCTGAGTCCTGAAGGTCCTCTGAGTCCTGAAGGTGGATGTTTATGTCAGCAGCAAGTGACACACTGGGGAGGCAGAGTGGGAAGCAAGGCTCTCCCTGGCAGAGAAATGGGGCAAAAGCATAAAGCCAGCAGCCAAGCCTGGTGAAGGAGCGCCAAGAATGCGGGAGCCGAAATCCGAGGGTGGGGAGGTGGGAGATGTGGTTAGGACTCAGGAGGCAGAGGTACCAGGAGTGGACCCCAAAGGGTCTCGTGTGATCACTGAAGTTCACATCAGTGAGGAGCCCTGAAAGATGTTTTTTGTGTTTTGTTTTGTTTTTTCCTGTTATAATATTGCATGTAAAATACAATTGGAGGCGGGGGGAGGAAAATGAGGCTCTAGCTGTATTTGGCTTTCTAGCCCTGTTTTTTCCATTCACCAAGACCTTGTGAGCATTTCACACAATCTGAAAATCCTTCATGCACATTTCTGTGACTGTGTAATTGTCTCTAAAACAGATGTGTCAAAGAGTGTTTACTGTTTTTCTAGTTTTTGATATTTAAGTTGTTTTCCCTTTTTTTTTTTTTTTTTGAGATGGAGTCTCACTCTGTCATCCAGGCTGGAGTTCAGTGGTGTGATCTCGGCCCACTTCATCCTCTGCCTCCTGGGTTCAAGTGATTCTCCTGCCTCAGCCTCCTGAGTAGTTGGGACTATAGGCATGCCCAGCTAATTTTTGTATTAGATGGGATTTTGCCATGTTGGTTAGGCTGGTCTCAAACTCCTGACCTCAAGTGATCTGCCTGCCTCAGCCTCCCGAAGTGCTGGGGTTGCAGGAGTGAGCCACTGTACCTAACCTGTTTTCACATTTTAGCAGTAAAAATAATGTGGTAATAAATACCCTATACATATATCTTTAATTTGCATCTCTATTTTCCTAGAATGGATTTTTAGAAGGAAAATTCCTGGATAAAGAGACATGGACACTTTTAAAGCTGTTAATACCTGTTGTTGAATTGCTTTCTCAAAATGTTCCACACATTTCATGTTCTCTACTTGGCAGGACACTATAATGCCTGTCTCATTGTATCCTCATGATCAATGAGACTGATGATTTTATAAAGAAGTAGATATTTTGAGAGGGGAAAAAAAGTATTTAGTTAAAATTAGACTTTCCTTGATTTTTGAAGTGAAAACATTTTCAGATATTTATTTACCTTATTATGTATTTCTTCTGCAAATGGTTCTCTTCCTTTGCCCAAATTTTATTGGATAATTTTTCTTATTTATTTAGAAAAAGGCTTTGTATAATATGTTCAACATGCTAACCCTTTATAGTTGTTGACTTTTTTTTTCAGTTTCCTATTTGCTTTTTAATTTTATGGATGTTATAATGTAAATATCTAGATGGTAGCTCAATAGACCTTAACAACCTCAAGTTGGTGGAGCCAAGGATGTAGGGAGGGAAAAGGAAGCCCAAGATGACTTGCAGGTTTCTGTGTTGGACACTGGGGAGATGGTGGGAGCCTCAGATGATTCAGGAGGCTCAGAAGGAAGGCATGCTGTACTGCATTGAACATGCCTGCAAAAATTCTCAGCTGAGATGTTTGAGAAAGAGTTAGGGATAACATCTGAACCTCAGTCATTATATGCAGCCAAGAGTGTTTATTGAAAGAATGAATGGATATTTTGATTTAAATCTCACCAAAGGCCAATGCAGTGGCTTGCGCCCATAATCCCGGCACTTTGGGAGGCTGAGGCAGGAGGATTGCTTGAGCCCAGGAGTTCGAGACCAGCCTGGGCAACATGGGGACACCATGTCTCTATAAAAAATAAAGTTAAAAATTAGCGCTGGGAGCAGTGGCTCACGCCTGTAGTCCCAGCACTTTGGGAGGCTGAGGTGGGCAGATCACCTGAAGTCAGGAGTTCAAGACCAGCCTGGCCAATGTAGTGAAACCCTGTCTCTACTAAAAATATAAAAATTAGCTGGGTGAGGTGGTGGGCACCTATAATCCCAGCTTCTTGGGAGGCTGAGGCAGGAGAATTGCTTGAACCTGGGAGGTGGATGTTGCAGTGAGCCGAAATCACGCTATTGTACTCCTGGGCAACAGGAGCAAAATTCTGTCTAAAAAAAAAAAAAAAAAAAAAAAAAAAAAAATTAGCTGGGCGTGGTGGTGCATGCCTGTAGTCCCAGCTACTGGGGAGGCTGAGGTGGGAGGATCACCTGAACCCAGGAGTTTGAGGCTGCAGTGAATCATGATCCCGCCACTGCACTGTAGCCTGGGTGGTGACAGAATGAGATCTTGTCTCAAAATAAATAAATAAATAAATAAATAAACCTTGATGGAGAGTTCTGGGAGGAGACATAAGCTGTGAGTTTGTGTCAGAATCAGAACTAGAGCCCAAGTCTCCCTCCTCCTGTTTCCATGCTTGTTCCTTAGAATCAGATGCAGTGTGGAAGGAGAAGAATCAAGCCAGTGAGATAACTTATTTTTTCAACTTCATTTTCCTTTTCTTTTTTTTTTTTTAAATAAAAATCTGATCTCCACACTCCTCTCCAACCTGTAATTGGCTTCTTCTTCCCCATAGGGAGATGGGCCATGTTTTGGATACCTCAAGCCAGATTAACTTTGGAGACGGGCAGAGGAATGTATTAAATGTTTATCATAACACATCTGCTCTCCATCTGCATTCAGTAATTTAGTCTTTTCTACAACAAGTGGTGTTAATATGGCGTAATTGACTTTTCCATTACACTAGATTAATTAATAGGAATCAATATGTTAGAAACATTAACAAGGTACAGCACATTTAAAACCTTCAACAATTAGTACTCATTCCCTTGCATTTCTATCACTAAGGGGGAAAAGCCACCACCAGCAGCACCACCAATAACAACAACGTGCCTGAAAACTCTGTTTTTCATGAAGAAAGGTCAGAGCGTTTTGGTTTGTTTTTTGCTTCTGCTTTGTAACCTGGCAAAATCAGATAAAACCATATAGTATTTTATTTTATAGCATGCCTATAATTTGGTGTCACTGGCATGAAAATGCTCCTCCCCTGGAAAATTCCTAAAATAAGGGTCTTTTCCTTGGGGCTGGATCACTTTGAAAGGTATTTGTCATGGAGGATCTACAGGACGGTGTAGGGGGGCCAGGAATGTGTCCCCGCAGGTTGCCAGACTCTTTGTCAATCTGCTGTCCTGCCGCCTTCCATTGTGGCCTCCCATTGCCCTGGGGAACAGGGAAGGAACTTTCCCTTGCAGATCAGCTGCCCTTACGGAGCATCCGGTCAAGAGGTGCCTCTCTCTGCATCCTGCTCCATCTGCAGAATGGTTGCAGCCAGACGCAGGTCTCCATGAGGAGGGGATCAGAACCTGGCATAGCTGCCTGCTCATCATAGTCTGAAAAAAATCCACAATTGAGTCTCAGCCACGCTCCCTCATCACTCCTGTTGAACATCATGGCAGTGATGGAGGGGGTGAAACTGAGTCCCAGAGAGGAAAGAGACCAGTGTGAGATCTCCTGACAATTAGAGACAGATCCTTGGGGAGAACCCAGATCTCCTTCAGCTCAAAAACTATCACTTGAAAATAAATGTTGAGAGGGTCCACTCACAGCAATCTCCATGTAATACTAATTTTTGGTTCAAGGATCACTTCCAGAAAGCACGGTGTGATCCCGGCCTTACAAATAGTATTACTAAAAATGTCTTGGGGGGTGCAATGTGTATGATTGAATTTCCGATGTGTTTATTTTGCTCTGTTTGATTTTTCTTAGTTATTTCAAACTGGGAAATTACAGTTCAGGACTCAAAGGCACAAAGTGGTGAAGAAGGAAGGGTCTGAAGGAATATCCCTGTGCCCGTGGCCCATGTATCTGGGCCTAGGCAGGCTGGGCTGGGGCTGTGGGATGAGGCCTGGCCAGCTGGCTGCTTTGGGGACCGCCAGCCCCTCTCGGGCCTCCTCAGCGTTGCCTGGAGACCGTGCAACAATGCTTCCCGAGCAGCCCAGCGATGATCTTTTCTGAAGTGGCAGCCCCTTCAATTATTTTATTTCCATTATATTACGTTAATTAAATCAGCAAAAAGAACAGAGCACATGCATGTCCAAAGTGGAGTGGCTGTGAAGGGTTAATCGAAATGGCCCTGGCTGCTGCTGGGTGAGCAGGAGCCGCCAGCCAAGGACAGACCATATTCCATCGGGCCCAGCCAGGGTGAACATCAGGAAGCATGGTGGGCCTCGCCTGGGCCTGCATGTTGGTCTCTGTTTCTACAGTGCTCCTGGACCCCTGGCTGCCTCTGGTGGGTGCAGATGCAGCTGGAGCACCTGGCTGGGGGCTGTAGGGAAGGGACCCTGTGGCCCTATGAAAGACAGCTTAGCACCGCAGCCAGACTCCGTAGAAGCACATCCGCCAACGTGACGTGGCACAGTTGACTGCCAGGAACGAAAGATGTTGTGGATAAATCATCTGAATGCTCTCAGGCAATGCTTTTTTAAAACACCAGGGCGCTTTGCTGTAAAATCTTATACTGACTTTCCCAAATAAAAACCAAATAAGAACAGGGCTGCTTCCATAGGAGACAAAAGTGGGGTAACGGCAACCTCTCTCGTGCTCCACCTTTGATGAGGAGCACAGCTTGGAAAGTAATGCTTTAGCTTGAGCCCAGGAGTTCAAGACCAGTCTGGGCAACATAGTGAGACCCCCACCTCTACAAAAAAAAAAATTAGCCGGGCATGGCGGCACTCGCCTGTAGTCCCAGCTACTCGGGAGGCTGAGGTGGGAGGATTGCTTGAGCCCAGGAGGTAGAGGCTGTAGTGAGCCATGATCATGCCACTGTATTCCAGCCTGGGCCACTGAGTGAGACCCTGTCTCAAAACAAACAAACAAACAAACACAAAAACTAGTGCTTTAGAGCACCCTTAGGTGTAGCAAAACCAGGGGTTTTATCTGGGCTGCTGGTTTTGGGCTTCTGACAACATAGCTCTCCTATTCTAATGTTCCAACACCTGCAAACATGGGCTTTAGGACTGGGGATTTCTGTGGTTGAAAACAAAAGTTGCCCTCCTGCCTCAATTTACTTGCCTGTATAATGAACATAAAACAATATATGGCTTCCTGGGCTCATAAACTTTAAGAAGTGATGCATAAAGGCTGCTTCCCTGTCTGTCATAAACTCTTTGGGGAAGGTGATCAGCCTACTTCTTGAGGGTGTCTTTGTGTTTTTGTAAACACAGTGCTCAGAATATCATCCTTCCACCTCTTCTCTTACAGATGGGCAGTAAGGTTGCTGTTTGAGGCTATTACTTCACTCTTGGGCTTCTACCGAGACCTGTCTAGGAGCCCGAGGATCTGCACCATCTGATTCTGGTCTTGTTTCTAACTTACTATGAGACAGGAGACCGCCCCTCCGGTCTCTGGCCTGTGATTTCTTCCTCACTCAGTGAAGGAGTTACTGTCAATGATCTCCTAGGTTCCTCCGCAGCTGTGGCATCCTCTCATTTGAATACCATCAATAAAAATAGCAATGCAATGCCTTATGTTTAAAAGGCAACCGAGCAATTACTCTAAAGTTTATTTCCTGCTCCCTCCAATGTTGCAAATCTCCTCAGTTTTAAAATTAAGTTGTAAATGAGATTTGAGTTCCACATCACTTGCTTTGTTCTCTCTCCAAGAGAAAGAGTTGAATCACCAGTTCAAAGCAAACTTACACATAACTGAAATTCAAAGGCGGTTGGAGGGATTTTCTTTCTCCTAATCTTGGTTACTGGGTTCGCCATGTGATTAACCTTCCACAGCCACCACTGTGAAGAAGTGAGTCCCTGATCCAACACTGGCAGTCACCGCCCCAGGGTTTAAAGGACAAAGTCCAGCATCAGCTCCATCACCTTCAATGTCCTAGAAATAATAGAAAACAGTTTAAAAAGTGCTCACTGTGGGCCAGGTATTTTACATATATGACATTTTTAAAGACTTCTCTGGACTATTCTTTGAGGTAGATATTTTTACACCCACTTTACTGATCATGAAACTGAGGCACAGATAGTTTAAGTAACTTGCTCAAGATCTTACAATTTCACCAGATCTTGTAAATCTGGTGGGTGATGGACCAGGGGTCCAGCCCAAGCTGTCTGCTTCCTCAGTGCTTTGCTCTTGATCCCTGAACTTGACTCACATATAACCCCTGTGGAAAAGAAAGGGCTGAGAGATCTTCTGGTCGTACTTCCCTTGTGATGCTCGAATCTCCTGCAAGGCCTCCTGCATGGACATACTCCCAGAGATGAGGAATCCCTTCCCTTTGAAGACAATCAGTCATTCATTCAGTTGACAAACAGGCACAGGCCCCATGTGAGGTCCAGACCCTGTGCTCAGTACTGGGCCATAAGGATGAATGCATCACAGTTCCTCCTGCTGGGGACCTGTGGCCTTGAACAGCTCTGTCTGCCAGAAAACTCGGCCTTTACTGAACTGGAAAAGATGTCCCTGTAACTAAAGGGTCTGTGTGATTACTGCTTAAACCAGGACACTGCTGAGAGTGAACAGGGACTCATAATAATTATGTTTCGGGGACAGGCAGAAACGGGGCCTGTACCCTGCAAACAGGGACACAAGGAAGCAACCTACACACCACATCCTGAGTGCTTGTCTGGCTTTGGGTCCACACATCAGCCCTTCTGACATCTGAAGACCATTGTCTTGCTGGCTCAGAGCCCTCCTCTTCTCCAGCCCTCTCCCAGTTCCTTAAATGATTCTTCATCTCCTTAGTTTGGATCCCTGCCCCCAACATTCTCTCTCTCCTTGGGATCATGTATGAAATTCTCTGTGTGGCTTCCTGGTCCTTCCCGGATCTGGCCTGATTCAGTTGGGAGAGAAGGAATCTTCCCCTTCTTGGGGAAAGAAGAGGGCTGACATTGTGACAGTCTGGGATTCTGACAGAATGTGGAGGGTGGAGGTGAGAACAATGTCACAGTGCTCTGTGTTTAGCAGCAGGGCAGTGCTCAGAAATTCAAGATGAAATGATTTGGGAGAGAGGTCAGAGAAATATGTTTCACTAGTATTCCTCAGGCTTTGAAAACTTTGGAAAAAAGCATTTATTTTTAGGTGAGATTTTTCCTTTAACGCATCAGCCTTGAGACCATAAATCTTTATTTATTCACTTAGACAACAAACATTGATTGACTAGCAGTTACTTGCAGGCTACACACATAATATAGTCTCTGCTTTCAAAGAACTCAGCATTTAGGTGGTGACAGGGTGGTGAACAGAGTGGCTGAGTGCTCTGATAACAGGTGCCACGAGAGAGGGAGCATCTACTTATCTCTTCAGGGGGTGTCAGGCTTCACAGAATAGATATTTGCTGAACTGTTTCTCAGAGGATGAGCAGAAATTTTCCTGGCAGGGAAGGGGCATGAGAACACCCCAGGCAGAAGGAGCAGCATGTACAGGAGATGAGGGACATGTGTGTTCAGGTGGCTCCTGGTGACTGGTGGCGGGTGGAAGTTACAGGAGATGCAGGATGGAGAGGCGGGACTTTGATGCCACTCAAAGCACTTGGCTCTGTACTGGGAGAGACCTGGACCTTCATGAACCACTTTGCAACACAGAACATTGGTGGGTGGATTCTGATGTCCATGCAATTAATTCAAGTGAGCTCCAGCATGAAGCACCCAGGAGAAAATGCTTTTAATTGAGAGACATGTTTTTCAAATGTTGCTCAGCTGCCAGCTCCTGTGTGCTCTGGCAGGAATGGCAAGTGATACTTAGCTTTCTTCAAGCTCCATTAATCTGCCCATTTCTTTTGCTTCAAATCCCACTTCAAACACACAGCGGCTCCTCACACTCATAATGAAATAAATGATTTATAATCCTGTTGGGAGCCAGCAAGCCTCCTGTCTGGTGGTTCAGGTGGTTAGGGCAGGCTGGGTTGATCCAGGTGACCTTTCAGAGTGCATCAGAGGGCAGACAGTGGCTCTCCTCACCTTCCCAAACACAGTCTTACACAGGCATGCACACACATGCACACATACATACATACTTGGCTGCATGGACCTTGCCCTGTCTTTACTCCTTTCTCGTGACCATGTGGGTTCCCCTGGGAAAGCCCAGTGACTTGGTCAAAGGACAGTGTTCCAGTGGCTTCTGTGGAGTAAGCCACTGAGTGCTGAGTGCCACTTTATATGCCCAGTACCTAAGTTCATAATATTATGTGACATAAAAAGATGCCAGGCCGGGGGCGGTGGCTCACGCCTGTAATCCCAGCACTTTGGGAGGCCGAGGAGGGCGGATCATGAGGTCAGGAGTTCGAGACCAGTCTGGCCAACGTAGTGAAACCCCATCTCTACTAAAAATACAAAAAATTAGCTGGGTGTGGTGGTGGACACCTATAATCCCAGCTACTTGGGAGGCTGAGGCAGGAGAATCACGTGAACCTGGGAGGTGGAGGTTGCAGTGAGCCGAGATCGTGCCATTGCACTCCAGCCTGGGCAACAGTGAGAGACTCTGTCTCAAAAAAAACAAAAACAAAACAAAAAAAACCAGGTGTCTTCTCCCTTTTCAGTGAGGGGAAAACCTGAGCTACAGAAAGGTTAAGTGACAGGCACCAGTTTGCATTAAACTAGTAGTTGGTAGAATGAGGATGTGAACCTCTGACAGTTCCAATGCCAGTTCAAGGACCTGGCCTCTTTCACTCTACCCCAGGTTCTATCAGGCAGGCACCACTGGCTCACCTCCTGTTGTCCAGAACTGAGATTGGGATGAAGCATCTGAATCTATGCCATTGCTTATAGAAAAGGTTTTGAAGTTGGGATCAGAGGTAGAGTTCATTGATTCACTTGTTCACCAGCCTCTTCTGAGTGCCTGCTGGAGACAGGTCAGAAAAATATGTTTCACTGGCATTTCTCAGGCTTGGAAAGCTTTGGAAAAACATATTTGATTTTAGGTGAGATTTTTCTTTTAACCTTGGATGACTTTGCATCCTGGGCTGGGGATGAGGAATAGAAATAATGCAGCTCCCACTCTCAGCACGTTAGTCTCCAGAAAGAGAAGTGCGGGATCTATCCGCAGGCTACAGTGTGATCAAGGGGAACCTCAAGCAAGGGAGAGGGGCTCTGAGACCTGAGGAAGTCAGGCCCCGGGTCTGAAGGACTCCCCAGAGTAATGACTTTGCAGCAGAGTCCTGATGGCTGGAGTTCCCCAGCTAAGCAAGGCCGGGAAGGGTGTTCCAGGCAGAGGGAACGGCGGTGTGAGGGCAGAGTGCTCAGAAGGAACGAGAAAGCTGGGGAGGGTGGCCAGATAGTTTATTGTTCAAATTGGAGTTTTTTTCTACCAAATTTTTAGATTGACAAATGTTATACCACATAGGAGTTGAAAAAATAGTACCATGAGTACTTGTATGCTTTTTGGTTTTTTTTAGACAGTCTCGCTCTGTCTCTCAGGCTGGAGTGCAGTGGTGTGATCTCTGCTCACTGCAACCTCCACCTCCCAGGTTCAAGCAATTCTCCTGCCTTAGCCTCCCAAGTAGCTGGGACTACAGGCGCATGCCACCACACCTGGCTAATTTTTGTATTTTTAGTAAAGACAGGGTTTCACTATGTTGGCCAGGCTGGTCTTGAACTCCTGACCTCAGGTGATTTGCCCACCTTGGCCTCCCGAAATGCTGGGATTACAGGTGTGAGCCACTGCACCTGGCCACTTGTATACTCTTTATCTAGATCCAGCAATTATTAACATCTTCCTGTATTTGTTTTACTTTTCCTCTATATGCGTTGTGTGTGTGTGTGTGTCGGCGGGGGGTGCTTTCTGTATGTATACATTTTTTTCTGAACTATTTGAAGGTAGGTTGCAGGCTTGACACTTTACCCCTAAAATGTATCATTTATCTGTAAAATGACAATAGCTTTATTTCAGTGTCATAAAAATAAGGAAGAGGATACAGTATGTACAAAAAGTCTGACATGATACCTTGAATATAGCAGCCACGCAATCAAAGTTAACACTGAGCATCTAGCGAGGGCTAGCTATGGACCAGCACTTCCCGCAGAAAATCTCATAACCACTTGCTGGAGAGGTATTGCCACTCCCATTTCACAGGAGGAGAGAACTGAGGCTCAGGGCGGAGGATGACTTGCCCATGGTCTCACAGCTATTAAGTAATGAAGCTACAGTTCCAGCCCAAGTTTGTTTTACTCCATAGCCTGTGTTCATTCTTTTTTCTTTCTTTCTTTCTTTTTGTTTTTGAGTTGGAGTTTCGCTCTGTCACCCAGGCTGGAGTGCAGTGGTGTGATCTCTGTGCACTGCAACCTCTGCTTCCTGGGTTCAAGTGATTCTCCTGCCTCAGCCTCCCAAGTAGTTGGGAATACAGACACCTACCACCACGCCTGGCTAATTTTTGTATTTTTAGTAGAGACAGCGTTTCACTATGTTGGCCAGGCTGGTCTTGAACTCCTCGAAATCCTGACCTCAGTGATCCACCCTCCTTTGCTTCCCAAAATGCTGGGATTACAGACATGAGCCACCACGCCTGGCCCATTCTTTTTTTTTTTTTCTTTTTGAGACAGGGTTTCACTCTGTCACCCAGGCTGGAGGGCAGTGGCGTGATCTCTGCATACTGCAACCTCCGCCTCCCAGGTTCAAGCCATTCTCCCACCTCCACCTCCCAAGTAGCTGGGACTACAGGTGCATGACACCATGCCTGGCTAATTTTTGTATTCTTTTGTAGAGGCGGGGTTTCACCATGTTGGCTAGGCTGGTCTCGAACTCCTGACCTCAAGAGATCCACTTGCCTCGGCCTCCCGAAGTGCTGAGATTACAGGCATGAGCCACCATGCCTGGCAAAAGCCTGTGTTCATTCTACTGCCTCTGGGTAGATATGAATTCTCTCACCTTGAGCTTGGGATTCAGTTTCTATGCAGGGGGAAATGGACCCAAACTCACTTTGGCTTGACTCGAGGTTTCTTCCTCAATCTTATGTTGATTATTACACTGTAGCTAGAGAGACTTATTATACACGGAACAGAAAAATGAAGAACAATTTGCTTTAGAAATTCCTCTAAAATCCTTTATATGTCAATGAAAACTGCTCATAAACACATATCACATTCTTATGAAAATATTTGAGCAGTCAGAAAGATAGTGCAAAAGGATACTGTACTGAGAATTAGGGCACCAGCTCTAATTGGCTGTTTCAACTTGAACTATTCCTTTCCCTCTCTCAGCCTCAATTTCCTATTCTGTAGAATGGGGATGAAAAATCCTAACTTGTCTACCTGCAGAGTGTTGAAGGAATTAAAAGACGTGATGAAGGCAAAAGCAATTAGTAAACTCTGCAATGCAGCACATAAGGGAGGGGTTGTTGATAGACCTCCTGGATTGCGAAGGGAAGCAGAGAACCTCCCTCTAGCTGGTATGCAGCTGCAATCTCAATCTGGAACAATGTTATCAACTTTTGAGATGTTTCCTTATTTCCTTCAGGGAAGTGGGGGGAAAATAATTTTTGGCTTAGACCTTAGACAGTACTTAGTGATCGTGACCTCCTAAATATGCCTCCTTGAGTGTAAGCATCCCCAACTCATAAGTTCCAATGGGGCAGACACTTCGCCTTGTTCACTGCTGCAGCCCTAGCACCTAAAACAATGTTAAGCCTGTAGTATATGCTCAATAAATATTTATGGAATAGGCCACTCACGGTGGCTCACGCCTGTAATCCCATAACTTTGGGAGGCTGAGGCAGGTGGATCACCTGAGGTCAGGAGTTTGAGATCAGCCTGACCAATATGGTGAAACCCCGTCTCTACTAAAAATACAAAAATTAGCCTGCCGTGGTGGTGGGTGCCTGTAATCCCAGCTACTTGGGAGGCTGACACAGAAGAATCACTTGAACCCAGGAGGTGGAGATTGCAGTGAGCTGAGATTGTGCCACTGCATTCCAGCCTGGGCAACAAAAACGAAACTCCATCTCAAAAAAAAAATTATGGAATAAATTGATCAAATGATTAGCCATAACTCACACTGAGAGACACATGAGAGAGGGCAGGGAGACTTTTCATATCTGTATCCACAGTGCTGAGCATCACATGACACAAAGCCTTGGAATGATTGGAGGATTTGCTTAGTCATTATTATATCCCAACCTTGACGTGAACCTAAAGGTTCAAACTATGATTACATTTCATTTTAGTACCAGTGGTATTTTCTTTAAGCAATGCAAATTAAAGCTGTATCAGTCAGCTTTTGTTAGACTATCGTTAGTAACAAATACCATCAAAATGTCAGTGGACTATAAAAAAAAATGCAGGGTGCAGGGGCTCATGCCTGAAATCTGAGAGCTTTGAGAGGCTGAGGAGGGAGATCTCTTGAAGCCAGGAGTTCAAGACCAGCCTAGGGAACATAAGGAGACCCCTGCCTCTACAAACAATAAGAGAAAACACTAGCTGGGCATGATGCTACATGCCTGTAGTCCCAGCTATTCTTTGGGAGGTTAAGGCAAGAGGATCACTTAAGCCCAGGAGTTTGAGGTTGCAGTGAGCTCTGACCTTGCCACTGCAATGTAGCCTGGGTAACAGTGTGAGACCCTGTCTGTAAAATAAATAAATAAATACAAAATGAAAACAATTTTTTTATTATTGTTTTTTAGGTCATCAAGTCAGCTGAGGCTCTGATCCAGTACTTTCTCATTCTGAGGCTGAAAGTATAGCCCCTGATCTTGATTTTGTGGCAGAGGGGAAAACAAAGAAATGGCCAAACCAGGCAGTGAATCTCGCAACCTCTGTTAGATGTGATAGCATCACTTCTGCTCATGTTCCACTGGCAAAGCAGGTCATGTGACCAAGCCTGATGTGGGTGTGGGTGGGGTGGATATTACTCACGAAGGGGCTCTGCAAGGCATGTGGTAGGGGGTGGGGCTGCTCAGTTCTCCTCTAGGCAGAGAGCGCGCAATCAACCACCCTGGCCTTCAAAACACTTTGACTTCTTTGAAGGCCAAAGTTTTGGCCTCTCATGAGATCCCAGAATCCCAGAATGTCTGGCTAGAGGAGGCTTTGAGATGAAGCCACCGTGATTACAAATCAGGAAGCTGAAATACAGGGAATAGAAAGGACCTCATCGTGGATTTTACAGATGCTATTGGAACATTGAAAATGTTCCCCCAATTTTATGACGTTGACATAAGAACTACAGGCTGGCCATGGGAATGGTGGGGGCCTGGAATCCCAGCTACTCTGGAGGCTGAGGTGAAAGAATCACTTGAGCCCAGGAATTAGAGGCTTCAGGGAGCCATGATTACGCCACTGCACTCCAGTCTGGGTGACAGAGCAAGATCCCAACTCTAAAAAAAAAAATAAACCAACTACCAAAGTCAATGTTGCTTTAAAAGTTGTACAGAACAGAGAATGAAAGTGCCCTCTTCACTGGACTTACCTGCATCTCCCACTGCCTAGCACAACTTTTGGCCCCGAGGGTACAAATAATGGACAGCATATGGCTGCTTTCCTCATGGAGCCCATATAGAGTCCAGGGGACAAGAGATGAAACCTACAATGACAGCATAACACGATACACTCAGGAAGTATGGAGGCACAGAATGGGGTGGCCCCAACCAAGATTCAGGATGAGAAAAGGCTTTCTGAAGAAGAGACTGTTGGAGAAACAGCCAAGGCTGAGATGTGCAAAGAAAGTATGGTGCATCTGGGAATAGTGAGCAGTTGAAGGGCCTTAGGCATTGTGCAAAGAGTCTGGAAGGGCAGCCACTGAAGGGTCAGGTGTTTCTTTCAGAAGCATTGACCTGGCATCCTTCTGAAGAGGATGTGTTGGGGGGTGCCAGAGACTGCCCTGGGCCCCAGTTGGAGTTCTCCTGTGGGATCCTAACAGTGATGACATCTTACATTTGTGCCTACTCCCACTCGCCCATGTACACACAGGCGGGCATCTGATGGGATCCCCATAACACCTTGTGTGCCAGAACTGTGGTCCGTGTTTTGCAGATGAGGGAACTGAGACTTGAAGAAATGAAGGAACACGCACAAGAGAACACACGGGAAGTAAGGAACCACACTGACATGCTCTCCGCAGGCCTGCTTGACTGCATAGCCCCTCTTCTTCCCAGCTGCCCTCTGCCCTTCCCCTGGTAGGTGGTGGAGACTGCCAGTTACACCCAGGGCTGATTGTCCTTAATTCATAAACGGTCCCTCCCACCCAGCCTTCTGATCTGCCATTTGTAGGATTTTGTTTCACTAGAAAATACCTTGGCACACAGGAAATGCTCAAAAAGTATTTGTGGAGTGAAGGAAGGATGGAATCTGAGCTGCACAGATTACTGTGCATTGGGTCCCTTCTGTCATTCCGGGGTATGGATTTAGCAAGGGGGCTGGTCAGAGTGAGGCCTTGATTTTAAAGGGTGCAGTTGTACTTTGTTTATTTTATTTTATTTTTTTTGAGGTGGAGTCTCACTCTGTCGCCTAGGCTGGAGTGCAGTGGTGCGATCTTCGCTCACTGCAACCTCCGCCTCCTGGGTTCAAACGATTCTCCTGCCTCAGCCTCCCAAATAACTGGGACTACAGGTGTGTGCCACCATGCCAGGCTAATTTTTTGTATTTTTAGTAGAAATGGGGTTTCACCGTGTTAGCCAGGATGGTCTTGATCTCCTGACCTCATGACCTGCCCGCCTCAGCTTCCCAAAGTGCTGGGATTACAGGTGTGAGCCACTGCACCCAGCCTTTGTTTATTTTTTAATTAAACTTTTCAATGTTGAGATAATTGTTGATTCACACCATGGGTTCAAATCCCCATTCCACCACCTGCGTGCTGGGGAGATCTTGGGTGTGTGGCTTAAATTCTGTTCTGTCACCTGGGGAAACAGGGATCTGAATGGTGTCTACAGCATCAGGCTATCCCCAGCCAGAGTCCTTGTCACCTATGGGCTGCCCCAGGAATACCCTAATAAACATGGTTATCAGCCTTGTGCCTTTCAACCCCATCGCCTCTGACGCAGAGGCCCTGCCGGGAAACAGCACAGTGCAGAGGTCATGGAGCTTGGATCTGAACAATCTGAGTAGGAAGTGGATTCTGCCCTGTATTCGCTGGGCGACCTTGGTCTTTCTGAACTTCCATCAAACGGTGTAACAGAGCCTTCCCTGAGGGTTGCTGTGAGAATGAAGAGCGGATGTATGTTATGTACCTTCTGGGTTGTAGGAGTGGCACAAATGAGCGATGCCCGTTCACCTCTATCCTCTTTCTGGAGCTGGCTTTCCCACTACTCCTTTCTCCTCACAGCCCTGCCGGTGCCCAGCCACCCTTCTCTGTTCTTCGCTGGTTAATCCATAAGGTGGTAATGACTGACAATGGCTTTTGCATTTTAATAAGGGGCTTCATGCCTTACTCCAAAAAGAGGGCCAAATTATCATTTTTGGCACCTGAGTCACTAAGGGAGAGGTTTGTTTGTGCGTGTGGGAGGGCAGGAACCCGGGACACCTCACTGTGTGGGTGCATCAGCTACCCCACCCATGCCAGGGCCTCCACTGGTTCACATTACACATTTTTTTGCCAGTGAGAAACCAAGGCTCGGGTTACCCCTTCCCATGCTGCCAGGGCCCCTTGTTCAGTGCATAACCTGCTCAGCTGTCCAAGGCCAACCTGCAGCTGTGTCCAGGCCGCATCTGGCTCTGGGGTCCCCGTTATCTCCCTGTCGCCCCCACCACTTCCCCACTCATGAGCAGTAGACTCCTGAGGCCCTGCAGACTGGCCACGGCTGCTACTGGAACGGCTGCTTCCTTCCGGGCCCAGCCAGTCACCCTGCTGGAGATGAGTGGCCTCCAAGCCCCATAAAACTTGCTGCTGATCTCTTGGTTCCAGTGACTTTCCTCCTGTAGCCTCAGGACTTTCTGGAGCTCATTTGTCTAAAGAAAGAAGGGCAGGCTTTGTCCCTCCTGGGCTTATTCTCACCGAGTACTCAGCCCACCTTTCCAGCAGCTGCCATCAAGGCTGTGGTGTGAATAGGCCTCCTCTTTCCCCCTCCCTCGTAGGGAGGGCTGGGAGCAGCTCACCCACACAGGGATGGTGGCAGAGTCTCAGCCAGCCATTGAGTGACACTGGGCACTTGTTGAGGGCCTCCCCATTCTGTCTGCCTGTCTCATATGGCTGTAAGAGGGAGTCAGGGAAGTTGCTAGGTAGTGAATGCTTTATCATTTCTAAAGTCTAGTGTAATAGTCAGTACCAATAATTACCTCAAAATCCAGACACTTAGGCATTTCTCCTTTAGAAGAGCTACTGAAATAACAGCCCCAATTAATAATATTTCTAATTATGAATTATTAACGATGGATGTGATTGCCAGCATTTGTTTTCCAGAAGGCCGGAATGAGCTTGCTGTCAGAAGAGACTGCAACACTTGACTTTAAATTCTTAAGAACTGAAGATTGTGTCTCCTTGGACATATGTAGTCTTGTGTGGCCCCAGTGTTGGTCTAACAGGCCTCAGAGGACTCCCTCTCACCTTCTGGCTAAATCCTTCACTTAGGATTGATATCTATTCTCAAGAAAAAAAACAGACCCATTTTTTCATCAAGAATAATGATTTTGTAGGGCAGTTTCCTTTTGCAAACAGTATTATGAACCATGTTTTCCAGTAATGACTATCTTTCTCTTGAAGGCACTGAAGGAGGAATCAGTCAGGCACACGTTTACCATCGCCCGCTGGCCTGGCCTCTCTCGGAGACCTGAATTAGATTTGAGTGATGTTTGTTGTGTGCCAGGCCTCTGCTAGGCTCCGTGGAAGATATGGAAATAGATCATGACAGTTCTTGCCTTTGGGGAGTTCGCTGTCTAGTAAGGGACACAGAATGTATCCGGAAATGGTTATAACAGAATTAAAAAGCACTTTGAGAGCAGGGGCTGGGGTAATGGGGGAGGCATGGATGGTTGATTATTTTTAATTAGAAGGTTTGGAAAATTCTTCCTAGGAGAAGAGGCACTGGAGATGGGCCTTGGAGAATGTGAGGATTTTAGGAATTGGACAGGGTGAAGTGAGTATGAAGGAAATTTCAAGAAAAGGAAGGTACTAGCAAGATGTAGACTGGGCAAGGCCAAGGCATATTTGGTGAATGGTAGGCCTTCAGGGATGGCTGGTGGGTCGGGCCTTTGGGAGACTATGGGGTCAGGCGGCATGAAATGAAAACATACTGTGTCCAGGCTAGGAGGGTCTTGAGGGTGTGGAATGAATCCACCCGCTCACACCTTCCTCGTGTTCCAGGTGCTGTTCCATGCACTGAGGATTCCAAAGAGAAATAATCCACAACCAGACTTACAGATAAGTTCGAGAAATAAACCCTGTTTTGCAACCCAGAGCACATTGTTCAGTATGAGTTTCGATACATATAAGAATAAATATTATGATACCAAAAAAAAAATAAAATAAAATAAAGAAAGAAATAATTCACAGCTAGGTGTGGTGGTTCATGCCTGTAATCCCAGCACTTTGGGAAGCCGAGGCGGGTGGATCACTTGAGGTCAGGAGTTCAAGACCAGCCTGGCCAACAGGGTGAAATCTCATCTCTACCAAAAGTACAAAAATTAGCCAGGCGTGGTGGCACACACCTGTAATCCCAGCTACTTGGGAGGCTGAGTCAGAAGAATCGCTTGAACCTGGGAGGCAGAGGTTGCAGTGAGCAGAGATTGCACCACTGTACACCAGCCTAGGTGACAGAGCCAGACTCCATCTCAAAAAAAAAAAAAAAATCACAATCCTGTCCTCAAAGAGCCTACAGTTTATTGTGGCACATAAAACACTAAAGAATTGTAAGGATGTGACAGGATCAATCCTATCTATGATGGACATAAGGTCAGAGGAGGTCGTAAGATATAAGGTCAACTACTCTGACCTGGGAAAGAGAGTTGGGGGAAGCTGTACAGAAAAAAAGACCACATTTGGCTTGAGTCTTGAACTGCTATCAAGCAGTTCAATTGAGTTTTCCTTGAATTTAATCCAGAAGTTAGTCCAGTAGTTCTCAACTGAGGGTAATTTTGCCCCCTGGAAACATTTATCAATGTCAGGGGACATTTTTGATCATCGTGACTTGGTGGTGAGGGTGGTGCTACTAGTGTCTCATGGATGGAGGCCAGGGATGCTGCTGTACCTCCTAAAATGCACAGGGCAGCCCGCACGGCATGGAAGGATCTGGCCCAAAAGTCAATCGCGCTGAGATTGAGAAACCTTGTGTTGAAGTACATGTCAAACTCCACCACGTTGGGAACTGGGAGATGGTCGAGTAGCCAACAGCTTCCTGTGGCTTTGGGCAGGTCCCAGCTGTTTCTGGTGGGCCTCATGCTATGGACTGAATGTGCCCCCTCAGAATTCATGTTGAAGCCCTAAACCTCTGTGTAATAGTATTTGGAGGTGGGGCCTTTGGAAGAAATTAGGGTTAGATTAGGTCATGATGGGACTAATGGCCTTATAAAAAGAGAAAGAGGTGCAAGATATCTCCCTCCCTCCCTGCCCCCGCCACCATCCCCGCAGCCTTCAGAACCGTAGGGGCTAAATGTCTATGGTTTCTGCCCTTCAGTCTACAGCATTCTGTGATTCTATGATAGCAGAGGGAGCATATTGATTTCCTCTATCTGGTCATGAGTCTGTGAAGCTGGATGTTCTTTTACACTTGTCTCACCTCTCTAGGACATCATGAGAGGGTTGTTCAATGAATGTTCAGCTCACTCATCTTCTGGCAGGGCGTGGTTTTCATCTATCTGCAGAGTTCTGCCTCATACATTTATGGAGTTTCTAGAGGCAGCTTTATAAAGCATGTTGGATGAGGTGTTTTGTTGTTTGTTGGGTATAGTGGATTATTTATATTGCTGGATAACTATGTGACCCAGAGAAAAATATGCAGTATTATGCAATATTAGGATCTCTCTCTCTCACCCCACCCAGCCACATTTTCTTCACACTGTCACTCAGTCCTGGTCACATACAGAAACCACTTTCATGGCTAGAGAGACCCTTCCCCTTGACTCAGCCTCTGACAGCCTCTCACTGCCCATCAGCTCTGGCCTTATCCCCTGGGCCTGACTTTCCCGGCCCTCCACAGCCTAACTCCAGGGACAGCTCTGCCTCATCTGGATGCCTCCTTCCCTCAGGCCGTGCCAGAGACTTGCTTCAGCCACAGCAAAACCACCATTGTTCCCCAAAAGAACACCCCTAGAGGGAAGAGACTGTGCTTAATTGCTCTAAAAGCCCAGTTCAGCAAAGACCCAGTGAATAAATGACAGACAAATGAATGCACACTTTAAAGAGGCTTTTAGAATTCATGAGAGGCCACATGTCGAGGAGGTTGGTGATAGGAAGGCAGTGGCACCCGTGGACAGAAACAGGGGAAAACATTTCCTCCACGAGGCAAAGAGGCCGTCTCTGTGTTGGCAAATTTGAGATGTCACTCTGCAGAGATGGAACCTGACCTCTAGGGATGTCAGTTTAGCATCTCCGTGGTTACTTCTCTGTGATTCCGCTGGCTTTCCAGTGTGGTTGGGAGATGGCTGCGTAGCTTCAAGCTCCACACCCACACAGCTTCACTGAACAGCAGGAGGGTGTGTATCAGTGAGCTGCTGTCATGAAAGCACTGAGTAACAAACCACCCCAAACTCAGTGACCTATAACAAATGCAACAGACCATTTATTTTTCTTTCTCTGCAGTCTACCTGTGGGTCAGCCAGGACTGTTCTGCTTCAGGCTGAGGCGAGGCTGAGCTCGTCTCTGAGGCTTCAGGTAGGTTCAGGTCTGTTCCGCAGTCATCCTAATTTTCTTGTACTCACCAGCAACCCAGCATGTTGATTGCATGACAGATTCAGGGAGCAAATGGTAAGACCAAGCCTGTGAGAACATCGAAAGTCTGTTTCATGTCTGCTCACATGCTATTGGCCAAGCAAGGCATCTGCCCATGTCTGGGCAGATGCCTTGCTTGGCCAATAGGACATGATGGTGGGCTGGCATGTGCATCATACCCTGAGGGGAGGGGAGGGGAATAGGAGCATCAATACTCTCTGAACAATCATCTCATCTATCACCGGGGTAGGATGTGTTCCTGAAACCCTCGGCCAGAGTTCCCCAGGGAAACTTACGTCATACTGACTAGAACCGAGTCTCGTGCCCAGCCCCAAACCAATCACTGGCAAAGAAGGATGGGCTCACTGTGAGGGATTAGACCAATTGTCATTTGGCCCTGGGCCAGGACCCTCTTCCTGTGAACACTGAATGGAGTTGGGCTCCTGTCAGCAAGGCATTGGCAGGGAATGACTATCGAGTAAGCAACCAATGTATGCCCCAGCCGCCAGCTCTGATCAGGGTGAGGTCACTTTTCCTCTTTGGGCCCAGAGTAGCATGGAAAAGTCTCTGTGGGCCTTGCAGGGTGTTGGAAGTGTGCCCACACAAGTCTTTCCAGGTGCCACTCGCTGAAATACCTTCACTCGCTCCGTCCCCAAGAGGCAGACCAGCCAGTGCACTCCCACCTCAGACGCTGGCTCACCAGGCAGCTCCTTCTGTGGGTGTGTCTGTCCTTACAGGATCCCTGGAGCAAAGGTTGCCCTCGCCAGGCACTGGCTGGCAGCTCCACGGCACAGGTGTCACATCAGGCCTGCTGCACTTGCCCCTGCTTGCCCAGGGACTTCCCTTCTAACAACGAGATCTGACAGCATCTCTAAGTTGGTAAGAACCTGGATGGCTAAACAGCCTTGGATTATTCTACCCTCAGCCTGCCTCTCTGGGCTTCAGATTGTTCATTAGAAATATTCTGGGAGATGATAGGAATTCTCACACAATTTCCCTTGCAGGAAAGTGGATTTTCTCATGGCAATGGCTATCTTGGGGGAGTAGGGGCATAAGCATTCAGCCCCTCCCGAGCAGCCAGGCTGTTTCTGGGCATCCCTCTCCATATCTGGTCCCTGAAGCTCTGGGATCCTCCTGTGAAGGCCTGGGCAGAGCATCCAAGGCAGGCAGGGGCCTTGGATTCTAACCCTAGCAAGGCCTGGACATTGCTGTGTGAAGAGGCTTTGTAGGGCCTGAAGCTTTTGCATTTGGGGAGTTTTTTCTTAAAAAAGAAAAAAAAAGGTAGAACATAATTTATAAATGCCCAACTAGGTAAGAGCTGTGCTGGTTAATTGTATGTGTCAACTTGGCTGGGCCACAGTGCCCAGATATTTGGTCAACCATTATTCTGGCTTTTCCTGTGAAGGTGTTTTGTGAATGAGATTAACATTTAAATTGGTGAACTCTGAGTAATGCAGATTGCCCTCCATAATGTGGGTGGACCTCACCCAATTAGCTGAAGGCCTGGCCACTCCCGAGGAGGAAGAAGCTCTGCCAGCAGGCAGCCTTCAGACTTGAACTGCAACTCTTCTGTGGGTCTCCAGCCTGCTGCCACACCCTGCGGAGTTTGTACTCCCAAGCCTCCACAGTCATATGGGCCAGTTGCTTAAAATCTCTTTCTGTCTGTCTCTTTTTCTCTATGTCTCTCTCTTTCTCCCTGTCTGTCTCTTTTTCTCTGTCCCTCTGCCTCCTTCTCTTTCTCTCTGTGTCTCTGTCTCTCTTTCTCTCTCCATCTTTATCTCTCTCCCTCTCTCCATCTCTGTCTTTCTGTATGGTCATCTCTCTCTGTGCTCTGTGTGTGTCTCTCTCTCTGTTTCTCTGCCTCTCTCTCCATCTCTCTTTTTCTCCCTCACTCTCTGATAATCTCTCTCTCTCTTTTTCTCTCTGTCTCTCTCTCTCTTTTTCTCTGCACGCACACGCATCTTGTTGCATCTGTTTCACAGAAGAATGCTGCCTGACACAGGGCCTTGGAAAGACCCCACGCTATCAGAGGCCCGATGCCCAAGGTCCATTAACTTCTCTGTGGAATCATCCCTGGGAGCCGGGGTGCGCTCCCGATGCTGGTCCTCCACAGTCCCTCTCTAAGATGGTGAGGGTCTGCCCCGAGCTTGGCCTTGGTGCTGAGACCCTACACACAGACTGCAGGTCCCTGAGCACTCCCAGATAGTCAAGCATCAGGGTCCCCAGCCCTGCCTCTGGCCATCCCCCCACCTGCAGCCCATGCACACGAGGTGAAGAAGCAGCAAGAGGCACACAGAGGGCCACCTTCTCACACCAGGATCCTTCAGCGGCTCAAGAACCCAAAGTCACCCCAGACCCCAGGCCTGGCCATCTTTCCCTTTCCCTCAGCTGAGTTCTGATCAGCTTGCTCCTTTCCAAGTACCATTACCTGCCACTTATGGGCTGCAAAAAGAAATATATGGCAGTTCATAGATTTTCAGACATAATAAAACACGCTTGTCAAGGCCAGATTGTTGTCTGCTTGTCACTGCTAATGAGAATGTACCTCCTCTGGAGGCATTTTGAAGGGGTCGGAGCCCTGGCATGGAGCTGGGGAGCTGGGTGCTGGTTGCAGGGGAGCCACTAACTGGTCAGTGGCCTTGGTCAGTCCCATCTCCCAGGTGGCTCTCCACTGAGTACCTGGGCTTTGCTGGATGATCCATGGTCCTTGCAGTTGTGCCATCCACTGGATAGACTTTGCAACTTGCTCTGCTGCCCCCATGTGCTTGGTGACCTGGCCCTTTTGAGAAGACAGTGGGGATGGGGAAGACTTTGGGCATTGAATTGGGAACTCATTTTGTCTTGGGTGGATTCACCAAGAGGTCAAACACACTGGACAAGCAAACAAACAAGCAAATGAATAAATGCACTAATTTGAATTTTTTACAAGCACTGCTCCTGTGCTTTGGGGTGTGAGTTGATGTGTGCACACGTAGAAGCGGGGGTGGAAAGGAAGTGACCCTTGCTTGGTTTAGTTGCATTATGCAGGGACCCCTTTGGGCAATCCTCCGCAAGCAGCCAGCTTACGGGATGCGGGAGAGGGTCATTGGGCCTTCATCATCAGAGGAAGAATTCCTCCGTCTGGCTGAAGAGGAGACAGTGCATGAAAAATGGTGGCAAGGGGTCAGGAGGGGAAGGCAAGTGAGAAAACACTTTCATCTATTATCCCGGGGTCAATGGGCTCCCTCCCATCAGGGAACCTTGGGGCCGATGAATGGCCCATTGCAGGAGGTGCGGCATTGTGTAGACCGGGAGCCCACGTCACAATCCCCCAGCTCAGGACAATAGTGCCTAAGAAAGTGGTGGGTGGCTCGCCTCCCAGGAGCTGCTTCTTCTTATCAAAGGGCTTTTACCAGGAACGCCCCAGCCTGCTTAGGAAGGAGGGAGAGCTGTTTGTCCAATAATGCGAAGGCATTTCAGACTCATTCCAAATTCTCCGTCATGGCGATTAGGTTGGCCCGTATTGAATTTCCTCCAGAACCAGTGTAGGTTTCTCAGCTGTTGCCGCTCCCTAAAAGCCACACATATTCTTTGAGTTGTGTAATTTTTGTTTGAAGAACAACACATTCCTATTTAAAAAGAAGTCCAAATCCTTATGCTGAAAAAAAGACATGCATTCCCTCCAAAGAAGATGCCTGGAGGGCCACATATGTCCAGGCTGCAGTGGGTATGCAGCACAGGAGCTGGCTCCTGGTTTGGGCAAAACCATGGTCTTACCTTCTTCCTGGCACCTCCTTATCAATAACCCATAATTACATGTTTTAAAATATCCTGCAAATTAGTTGTGAGTCTGGCATTGTGACTACCCTTATTGAGTTGGGGTTGGTTTGCTTTCAGGGTTTCCAGAAATATGTCACCCAAATAGAGAGAATGTGATATCCTGGTTGTACCTGATGTTCTCTGCTACCCTAAGCTTTAGAAGTGGGCAGTGGCCAGAGATGTGATTTTGTGGTGTTGTTTTCACATCTGGCATGGGGCCTTGAATCTCAGATCTCAAAATGAGCCTGCCTGGCACAAAGCAACCCTCGATTTCAGATCCAGAACTAATACTTGCATAGAGACCCCCTGGGCTGCAAGGCTTTTCTGGTGAGCAAAACTGACTGTCCACAGGCAGGGATTTTGGGAGAACTGGTCCTTAGGGCCCCAGACCTTGTAAATGGCTTTCCTGCATTTTCAGTTGGCAATTTACTTAGGAAGTCAGTTGAGTGGCAGGCCCTGCACAAGGAGCTGAAAAAACAAAAAGAAAGAGGAGGTGGTCTCTGCCCGTGTTGGGGACAAATTAATAGATAGATGAATGCAAACATCTGTGGTTAGCATTATGAAAGAGCTACACATGAGGTACATACGCTACACTGTAAGCACTTGAAGCAACAACAACAGTGATTTATTTCTAGAGTATGGTAGAGTCTATGGTAGAGTACTTGGTTGAATAGTGCCATCCTAAATTCATGTCCACCCAGAACATCAGAATGTGACCTTATTTGGAAATAGGGTTGTTGCAGGTGTAATTTGTTAGATAGGGTCACCCTAGACTAGGGTGGGCCCTAAGTCCAACCACCGTGGTCCTCATAAGAAGGCCATGTGAAGACAGAGGCAGGGGTTGGAGTGATGTAGTTGCAAGCTGAGGATTGCTGGCCACCACCACAGGGGAGATGCAGGGAGCAGATTCTCCCTTGAAGCCTCCGGAAGGTACAGACCCTCAGGACGCCCTGTTTTCTGACTTCTGGCCTCCTGAACTGTGAGAGAATAAGTGTCTGTTGTTTTCAGCCATCATGTTTGTGGTCATTTGTTACAGCAATCCTAGGAAACTAATACACATGGTGTGTTGTCAATTACATTTCACTGGCAGCACTGAATGAGAGTTTCCACAGTTGGATGGAGTGGGAGCTGGGTTATGGGCTAACCATGGAGACATTTGGAGCTGGGGACCACAGGTAAAGGAGGAAATGGGAACAGAGAAGAATGAAAGCACACAGAATCTTCTGCCCTGTGGGTGGCATATGCCAGGAATGAAGAGGGCACGTGGGAGTGTGGGAAGGTGGGACTGGCCAAGTGAAGAAGGACAGCTCAGAAAGACTTGGTGAGACATACTAAGGAGTTTAGGTTTTATCCTTTCCCTACCTTCCTTCCTATTTTTTTTTTTTTTTTTAAATCAAATCAGTGATCTCTGTCACATAGGCATCCTACAGAATAGCAAAAGTTTCATGGATGTTGCAAGGAAAAACAAAAGTTGCTGGCTCCTCTGTGATACAATATTGCACAGAAAAACTAAACACAAAGAGGTGCCAGATGCCAGTAGTGTGATGTGTATGATTTTAAAAAGAAAATCATTAATAAATAGTATTTCTTAGAGTCATTTATTTACCTTTTCCACAAAATACAAGGCAAGAAAACCCACACACACACACACACAAACAAAAATAGCTTTCTTCGTTGGAAGGAATTTCTGATGCTGCAGATGGATTGTTGTGGTCTTTCTGTCTCCTCTCTTCTCACTGTGCTGTAAACTCCTACATCAGGGACCTTCTCTGATTCAGCAATGCATGGATGAATGGTAGGCACTAGTGTACTGTGGAGTACAGAGGCAACTGGGTAGTGTGGCCACGAAAGACCTTCCATAGGAGAGCGGATCTGAGCTCCAGCAGGATCTAAGAATAGGGTAGATAGAAGAGGGAGAGGAGGGGAATATTCTACCTATGGGAAATGTCATGAACTAAGGCACAGAAACAGTTTGTGTAAGGTGTGTCTAGAAGGAGGAAAGTGTAACTGCCCAATAAGTTCTCCTTATCAACTGCCTAGAGAGAGCCAATTTATCAAGACAAGGGAATTGTCATAGAGAAAGAGTTTAATTCATGCAGAGCTGACTGTACAGGAGACTTGAGTTTTATTATTATTCAAATTAGTCTCCCTGAGAATTTGGGGACTGGAGTTTTTAAGGTTAATTTAGTGGGTATGGGGCTAGTGAGTCGAGAGTGCTGATTGTTTTGCTAGAAGATGAAATCATAGGGAGTCGAAGCTGTCCTCTTGTGCTGAGTTAGTTCCCTGGGTGGGGGCCACAGGACTGGTTGGCAGGTCCAGGTGGGGCCATCTGGTTGTCAGAAATGCAAAATCTTGAAAAGATATCTCAAAAGGCCAGTCTTAGGTTCTTCAAAAGTGATGTTATCTTCAAGAGTAATTGGGAGAAGTTGAAAATCTTATGACCTCCAGAATAAAGGCTGGTGGTTATTTAGAACCTAAGCCCCTCTCATCCTGACTTGGTGGCCTTTAATTAGTTTTACAAGAACAGTTTAGTTTTGGGGAAGGACTATTATTTAAACTATAAACTAAATTTGTTTCAAAGTTAGCTTAGCCCATGCCCAGGATTGAGAAAACACAACCAACCTGTGATGCTAGAGACAAGATGGAGTCAGCCATGTCAGTTTATCTCACTGCCATAATTTCCTCAGCTGTGACTTTTGCAAAGCTGGTTTCAAAAGGAGACATGGCCATGGGAGACAAAATGGGAAGAGTTTATTAGAGCCCTACTGGTGATAGCGACAGGAGGCAGGTAATTTCTTAGGCAGACAGGGCTAGGTCCCCAGTGAAATTCAACCTTCGAGCAAAGGATAATCTAAGCCTGAAACCCAAGCTGTGAGCTCTGGATAAATCCGTGGGCCAGATTGAGAACTCCCATTCCCATTTGGCATGCTGTCTCCAGATTGGTCCTTATCCTTTACCTATTTTACATATACCTACCCTTCCCCAATTTATCCTCTACGCTTTTGTGCCTATTTCTGAATGGTGCTTTTTCAAGCACATCCACAGACCAATCAGCATGCACTTCCCCATTTCAAGTCCATAAAACTCCTAGACTCAGCCTTGTGGCAAGCAACCGACCTTTGGGTCCCCTCTCACTGTCCAGAGCTTTTCTGTTGCTCAATAAATTCTACTTTGCCTTACTCTCTCTCCAGTGTATCCATACCCCATTCTTATCAGTCGTAGGACAAGAACTTGGAACTTGGTGAACTACAGCAGTGAAAGAGCTGCAACACTTAATGTGCAGGCAGGAGACTTAAGAATTCTTCCAATAAAGAATTGAGCCATTGATAGTTTTTGAGCAAGCCAACTTGATTTAATTCAAGTTCTTAAGATGGCAGGACCTGAGAAGTTCAGCTGATGACCAGACTTTGTGGTCTGATGGGAGAGATGTCAAATACCCCAGGGCTCCCTTATGCCATGTTCCCCCATGTCAATTACCTTCTAGGAGAAGCTGGGGCTTGTGTCCTCACATGCTTCTTCCAAAGGGTTTCTCTAACAACCCCACTGGTCAAGATGTCACCAGAACTTGCTGCCACCCATTCTGCAGATATGGTTGTCTGCTTCTTCCCCTGCCCTGTGCCTCGTTCTGGGGTCTCAGAGCAGTTGGGGTGGTGCTAGGCCCTCTGGGACCTGCTCATGTGTGTGCCCTCAGAAATGGAGATGCAGTAGGAATCACTGGGGGTCAGGAGACCTGGGGTACCAATTGTCTCTCCCTGCTTATAGAACCATCTCAAAACTCAGTTGAAAAAAACAGTTCTTTTGATTGCTACTTCTTGCATTGCTGAGAGCTGACTGGGCTCACCTCTGGGTCTACTACAGTCACCATCAGTAGTAACAGGAACCGGAATCACCTGAAGGTTCTGTCACTCACTTGTGTGGTGCCTGAGCTGTAAAGACTCAAACATTGGGAGCTGAAACAGCTGGAGCCACACCATTTTCTCAGGCCCTTCAGGAAGTCTTCTCAGAGCTAAGCCTGTAATGACCAATTTGTCTTTCAGTAAAGCTCAGAGGACAAGTTACCCCCAAGCTAAGGAAGCTGAATTATCAAGGCTCATCATTTGCAAGTCCAAGACATATATTATGGTATAAGTACTGGGCCCCATTCGAGGTTTCTCCTTTCCTACACTCTTTCTTGCACAGGCAGTAGGATCATTGCACTAGAAATTTGGTTATAAGCATGTCACTCCTTAATTTGCTGAAAGTACCATGAAATTTCCTACAAAGCTTAAAAACTCAAATGCCTTTGGGCTATGGAGTCATCACAAAGTTGTGAAGTGGCCACAGTAGGATCACAGGGGTGAGGACTTCATTTAACTAAAGAACACCCTAAAGGCATTCACTTTCTTTTGGATACCAGATGATAATTGCTATGGATCAGATTCAGCCTGCAGGAGGCAGTGGGTTTGTGACCTTGACTTAGAGAGAAAAATATCCAACACATCACCTCTGTATTCAGGATCCACCACCCACAGTTACCCTCTCAAACCTACTGCCCATAACCACACTGCCACCCCTACACTGTAGGGATTATCTAAATTTGTCTGGCAGTATTTGTGCTTCCTTCCTCCTTGATCCCAGTTCTGCTTTCCACTGATTGGAGAGATGTCAGACACACCACTGCTCCCTTGTGCCACGTTCCTCTGTGTCAATAACCCCCAGGAGAAGCTGGGGCACGTGTCCCCAAAGTCTTCTTTCAAAGGATTTCTCTTTCTCCAGGTAGCAGAATCTTACCTGACTGTCATAGTCCAGCTCAGATCTCATCTTCTAGAAACTTCCCTGATCTCCAAGATCCTTATTGTCAGTCTGCATAATGAATTCATCATGGAGCCTTTGGGGTTTCTCTTCTACCATTGTCTTGAAGTATTGGGAAAGTGTGGGTTGTTGTTTTTTGCCTCCCCTCTTCATAACTAGGGTGCAGTGGTATGATCATAGCTTACTGCAACCTCGAACTCTTGGGCCCAAATGATCCTCTCACCTCAGCCTCCCTAGTAGCTGGAACTAGAGGTGTGCATCACCATGCCTGACTAACTTTTAAAATTTTTTGTAGAGATGAGGTTTTGCTATGTTTCCCAGGCTGGTGTCGAACTTTGGCCTCAAGCAATCATCCCACACAACCTCCCAAATTTCTAGGATTAAAGGCATGAGACATCCTGCCTGCCCCTGCAACATAGCTTTATCAGTTGCTTTTTCTAACTGGACTTTGGGTGTGGTGTTATTTTGCTTATATCAAGGGACATCCTTGATGCTACTCTAGCTGTCCTGACACCGGTGGTCTGCAGAGTCCTTTGGCGCTTAATGTGTTTATCTGACTTTGCTCCCTCTCTGGTTGTGTGTGTGTCCTTCTCCTGCCACTCCACTGTAAGCTCCTGGGCCAGGCCCCATGTCTCCTCAGCTGATGGTGTCCTTATAATTTCTTAGCCAGGGCTGAGCACCTTGTAGATGCTCAGTGTTTTCTGATTTGTTGATTTGTTTATGAGCAGGGAAATGTTTGGGTCCGTGCCAAATTGTAATGGGATAGTAATTAGCTTCTGGAAGAGATTCTGATTGTCTCAAGCCCACCAGTCCCTGGGAAGTCTTTGTGGCTTGAGTAGCTGGGTGAATGGTGGGGCTTTGATTAAAAATGAGAGACTGGAGGAAGAACAGGCTTGGTGATGGAGGAAGAGACAATAAAATTTTTTGGTTTAGAAATATGTGAATTTGAGATCACTGTTAGCTGTCCTAGGGGAAAGGTCAAGTGGGCTATTGATATATGAGCCAAAAGCTTAGAAGACTGGCTTGAGCTGGAGAAAGGAATTGGGACTCTGTAGTTGGAAGGCAATTTGCTTTTCAATATTCATTTTCCCATTTTCTTACTAATAAGAATTCCACTCAGATAATAGTTTGCATCCCTCAGGCTCTCTTGCAGCTAGGTGTGGCCGTGTTTTGGCAAATGAAACATAATCACAGGGAATACTCCTGGAAACAGAGCTGGCTCCCTGTGTTTCCCCTTCCTCCATCCTGATGTTTGGAATGTGGCTGTGATGAGCGGTGCTCTGTCAATATTCTTGTATCAGGAGGATGCGGGCTGTAGGGGAGAAAAAGTAATAGCTCGTCTTCACCTATTGCAAGGGTCATGGCTGACATCCCTGTAACAAAAGACAGATTAATAAGAGAAAAGCATAACAAATTTATTTAACTAAAGTTTTAAGTGACATAGGAATCTTCAGGAATGAGGACTCAAAGACCCAGGGAAAACTGGGTAATTTTATGATAAGTCTGATGAAAGAAATGTATAGTTATGGAGAAACATGATTGGACAGAAAAAGGAATAACCTAATGGTAATAAACTGGGTAAACTTCAGCAAGGCCTGTTTGTTTAGACCTTTCCTGTGTCTTTGTATGACATTATTTGCCTCTGGATGTTGGGCAAAACCCCTCTAGAATAAGGGGAGGTATGCCCTACTTTTAGGGGAGGTACTTCAGAGAATTTCTTTATAACTATACTTCAGGGGAGAAAGGCTGGAGAAGGGCAGAGTGACCTTGCTTCTGCGCTTTTCTCAATTGCCAATGTGCCATATTTTGGGGTATTGAGTTCTGAGCCTCTGCAGGGCCATTTCTTAGAGATGGTGAAGGTGGATAACTGAGAAAATCTATCTACTTGATGATTGTGTTACCTCTATACTCGGCTCAGATACTTATACCTGGACTTCTTTCATATGGGAGATGCTTTAGTCTGTCCTCATGCTCCTAATAAAGACATATTTGAGACCAGGTAATTTATAGAGGAAAGAGGTTTAATTGATTTATAGTTCAGCACGACTGGGGAGGCCTTAAGAAACTTACAATTACGATGGAAGGGGAAGCAAACACGTCCTTCTTCACATGGCGGCAGCAAGGAGAAATGCCGAGCAAAAGGGGGTAAAGCCCCTCATAAAACTGCTAGATCTCATGAGAACTCACTATATCACAAGAAGAGCAGCATAGGGGTAACTGCCCCCATGATTCAATTACCTCGACTGGGCCCCTCCCACAATACCTAGGGATTATGGGAACTACAATTCAAGATGAGATTTGGTGGGGCACAGCCAAACCATATCAGGAGAAAAGTAAACTTTTATATTTATATTTTATTTTAAATTTTATTTTCAAAATAACTTACTACTATTCTGTTCTCCACCAGTATAGGTTTGTCATTTTGAGAATGTAATAGAAATGGAATCATATACTATATAACTTTTGAGACCGGCTGCTTTCACTCAGCAAAATTAACATTTAACATTCATACATGTTGCTGTGTCAATCAATAGCTTGCTCCTTTCATTCCTGAGTAGTATTCCATTGCAGGGATGTACAACAGTTTGTTTTTCCATTCAAATGTTGAAGGACATTTGAATTGTTTACAGTTTTTGGCAATTATAAATAGAGCTACTAGAGACATTCAAAGACTTTTGCCTGAATTTGCATTTTTATTTCTCTAGGGTAAGTACCCAGGAATGGGACTGTTGGTTCACATGGTAAGTGTATGTTTAACTTTATAAGAAACTGTGAAACTGTTTTCCAGAGTGCCTGTATCATTTTACACCCCAACTGGCAATGAATGAGAGAACCATTTGCTTTGCCTCCTCATCGGTTTTGATATTGTCAGAATTTTGCATTTTATCCATTCTAGTGGGTATGTATGTTACCTCATCGTGGTTTTAATTTGCATTTCCCTTGTGGCTAATAATGAAGATTATCTTTTCATGTGCTTATTTGCCATCCATATATCTTTAGTGAAATGTCTGTTTAGCTCTTTTGCGCATTTTAAAATTAGATTGTTTTCTTACTTTGAGTTTTGAGAATTTTTTATATAGTCTAAATACAAATCATTTGTTAGATACATGATTTAAAAATATTTTCTCCCAGTCTATTACTTGCCTTTCATTTTTGTAATAGTTTCTGTCACAGAGCAAAACTTTTGTGTGTTTTTTTGTTGTTATTATTTTATTTTATTTCATTTTTTTGAGATAGGTGTCTCTCTGTTTCCCACCCTGGAGTACAGTGGCACGATCTTGGCTCACTGCAACCTCTGCCTCCAAGGTTCAAGCGGTTCTTGTGCCTCAGCTGCCCAAGTAGCTGGGACTACAAGCATGCACCACCACACCTGGCTAATTTTTGTATTTTTAGTAGAGGCAGGGTTTCACCCTGTTGGCCAGGCTGGTCTTGAACTCCTGGCCTCAAGTGATCCACCCACCTCGCCTTTGGGATTACAGGCGTGAGCCACCACACCTGGCTTGCAGAGCAAAAGTTTTTATCTTTGATGAAGTCCAATTTGTCAATTTTTATTTTATGGATCATCCTTTTGATTTTAATGTCTATTGTTTTACTGTTTATAGTTCCCCTGAGCAGATTAATGTCTATTTTTTTCAGGTGCTATTTTTCAGGTCTTTGTGACTCAGAGAAAATCTAATTTTGATTAGACATGGTACCAGCACAGATACAGTATTCGGAGAAATAGAATGAAGTGAGATTGTGACTCACTCAGTTTGGGAAATGGGAAAACCTCAACTGTGGCTTGTGTCTGTAGGTTGCATCTTTTCACCTTGAGGTTTTCAAATGAGGTTTTCCCATTTCCCAAACTGGTATACTTTCTACCTGCTATTCATTGCTCTGTCAGAGAACATCAGCATCAGAAACCCAAAGAGGTGCTAGCAACCTGCACTAGATGAAATGTTCCAGGCTTGATCTTTGCTTTTACATTATCATGCGACAAAAGTTTATTGAGCACCTATTATATGTTAGGTACACCTATACATGTAATGTATTATGCCATGCTGTATAAGGCATCAAAGTCTTTTACATTCTAGAGTATAGTCAGTAAACAAATAAATATTATAGCATGTCCAAGAGTGGTAAGTTTGATTAAGATGGTGACTTTGGGTGATGTGACCACACTTCTCTGGACTGAGTGGTTCAGAGATGGCCTCTCAGCAGGTTTTTTTTTCTCCTTACAGCACTGTCACCTCCTCCAAGTCCCACACTCAGGACTGGCTTTATAAAAGTAAACCAGTAAACCAGTGATGTCCCAGGGCCCTAAGCTCACAAAGGCCTTGTCCTTGGAGAAGAGAACCGTATTTTCCTTAATGCTTTCTTGTTACTGTCTTGAAGTTCTTTCTTTTTGAACAAGGGGCCCCACATTTTCATTTTGTGGCAAAGTAGGGAGCATGTCTTGCCTAGACACTTGTCCAGACAGAAAAACAAACAAAACCAGCAACATCTTTATATACCTTTGTCTATCTTGGTGAACAAATTGTGCCACTTATATTGATTCCACAAAAAATAGATGCTTAAGATGCATCCCCCTCTTCAAAAATTCACTGGACCAAGAGTCCATGTGGAGTTGTTAGGTGGACGCCATGTCTACCATTCTTTACTGCCCCTCTTGCTGCCTCTACAAATCTCTTTTGCTTGGTTAGACTTTACATAACAGAATTGTAAACCTCCAATTCATAAATGCTACAAGTGTTTGTCATTGATGGCAAAGGTGAATTCCGTCACCAGGAGCACATTTAAAGAAGGCTGTATCCAGCAGAGAGTGCTGGTCATTTTACATACAGCCATGCAGTACATAGCGTTGTTTTGGTCCACAGTGGTCCGACTATATGACAGTGGTACCATAAGATTATCACACCGTATTTCAACTTTACCTTTTCTATATTTAGACACATTTAGATACACACAATATTTAGCATTGTGTTATGATTGCCTACAGTATTCAATATAGTTGCATGTTGCACAGGTTTGTGGCCTAGGAACAATGGCTATGCCATATAGTTTAGGTGTGTAGCAATGATATTTACCATCTAGGTTTGTGTAAGTATATTCCATGATATTTGCACAATGATAAAATTGCCTAAGGATGCATATTTCAGAATGTATCCCCATAGTCAACTGATACATAACTGTATTTATTTGCATTTTATCCTCACAAGGGCTCATTTTAGAGATGTGAGAACTACAACTCAGAGAAGCTAAGTTATTTTTTTTTTCATAAACATACAGCTAGTAAGTGAGGACAATTCTTGTGTGCCTTAAGTACCTGGCAGGGTATTCTGATATTGCTGGTTTGAATTTCCGATTTTCTCTGTTGAAGAGGCGTGGGCATTTTATACATCTTTAATCGTCTTTTGGATATCACAAGCAATAGTTTCTGAGAAAGCTATTATTCTCTTCCATATTGATATTTTGAACATCCTTGCTGTATTGCTAAGTGTGATTGTAGGATCAAGAGTTGACCGTCTCCGAGTGGAATATCTGAAGCGGTGCTATCACCCCTTCCAGTGATGGAGAGTCATGTGAAGAAAGCTGTTCATGAAGCTAGGAGTCTCTTTCTCTGCTTATAAAAGAAGGCTTGTAGATTCTTCTGTTTGGGCTCATAACTGCTCTGGAAGAAGGCGGAATCGGGCAGAACTGATGCAGGCCTAGGAATTCTGGGAAGCGGAAGCAGCGGCGTAGGCCCACGCAGTCTGGCCACTCCGCCCTGCCCTTCACCCAGATTCCTCCCTGCTCCCTGGGTGCTTTTGGAGACTAGCTTCCGGAGCCTGACACATGTTCCTTTGTCTGGCCCCAGCTGTTAGAATCTGTCTTCATTCATTAAGCAGGAAGGGAGTTTTCAGAACTGCTTCTGCAGTCTGATGTCATGGGGCAGCCACACTCAAACCTCGGCAACTTCAAATTAGAGATGTCAAAATACGCAATGGAGACCTGACTGAGCACCCTCTAATCCTCGGCCATGGTGCTGGATGCCTCCCCTCCCCGATAATGACTGGTCCTAGGGCCAATCTGCACCGTGGGTGCCATTATCATTTTACAGAAAAGGAAACTGAGGCTCAGAAATGCTGTGAGGCAGCTCATAGCTCTATACTTAGAAAGGCAGGATCTGAGCCCAGGTCGGTGTGACTACAAGGCTGGCTCTCAGAACACCGCACTCACCGTCTTTCCTACCAACAGAGAGCTGCAGCCATCTTTCCTGCTATTAAAAGAAAAATCATAAAAGGGCTTGTCTTTTAGAAAATAACCATGCCGTCTTTGGGGAGAACACAGGTTTCTGTCCCAAAGCCTGGCTCACCTCCCTGCCGGGAAGGGCCTCCACGCTCAGCCCAGGACTCAGGGTATGCACCATATTGTCACCGATAATTGTACAGACCCATTCATCAGCAGGAATCCTATTTCAAACAGCTCTCCGACTCTAACGGCACGAAAAGCGTGAACTAAGCACAGTTTAATTAATTCTGATCTCACAGACAGAGGCTGCCCCATCAGAGACGACGGTGCACAGACACGAGGCAGGAAAAATTTCTCCAGCCTCAGAAGCAGGAGTGCATTCAAATGATCCCTTCATTCCTTCAAGATGGATAATTTGTTTTTTAGTAAATTCATAGGACACGTTTGTTGGAACCGTCACTGGCTCTCATCTTTCTGGGAAGGTGTACCTTTTAACCTAGAGAGCAGAAAAGCCTCTGATCTCGCTCCCTCTGACAGAAAGAAATGAGCCTCTTTGCTTTTAGTCTAATAATAGTATCTCCAATTCATGTAGATTTTTATGGTAAATCTTAAACATCATAGAAAATCCATATCCACAGTCCAATCACCAAGTCACCTTGGAGGAAAAGGAGGGGGGGAAATAGCATTATTTGAATTTCAAGGAAAGAAATACACCAGGAGAGCTGGGCATGCTTCATCTTTCTTCTACCAAGGAGCTCAGAGGCCTCCATGCCCTGAGACAGTCCCAGCTTCTCAGTGCCAAAGAGAAATGAGGGTAATACACACAGATGGAGTCCCTGGGACCCAGAAGGGTGGGCTCTGCCCAGAGTTAGCTGACTCCAGGAAATCGGCATGGTTCTGCTCCAAAAGGACCTCAATGACACTTCCCTACTGCTGCAGTGAGGAAGGTCGAGCCCATTTTATAGGGGGAGCTACCAAGACACAGAGAAGGTAGGCCATTGATACAGGGTCACACAAGTAGTGTGGCAGGGTCAGAGATGTCTCCATAATCCAGCTGGACCACTAGCTTTTGAGCAACTCCTTTCCTCTCTCCAAGTCCCCGTTGCCCCACATGTAAAACGAGAAGGCAGAACTCTCCTGAACACTAGATACCTTTTATTAACAGTGGTGCCTGTACCACGAAAGCAGTAATTCTTCTGGGAGTGAAACCTGCATGTTTGATACCTTGGTCAAGGGGAGGGAGGGAGGACAGAAGAGGGAGGATCAGAGTTCAATTTTCACTCCATTCCTTCATTTACTTATCTACTATGTTTCTAGCGTTGTGTTCAGAGGTGAGAACTCAGCGATGACAAAGATACTGGCCTCCTTCTTGAGGGGCTCACAGTCTTCTAGAGAAAACAGACAACGAAGTATGAAACCAGGGCCAGGCGGTGGTTCATGCCTGTAGTCCCAGCACTTTGGGAGGCCGAAGCAGGCAGATCACCTGAGGTCAGGAGTTCGAGACCAACCAATATGATGAAACCCCGTCTCTGCTAAAAATACAAAAATTAGCCAGGCTTGGAGGCATGTGCCTGTAATCCCAGCTACTCGGGAGGCTGAGACAGGAGAATTGCTTGAACCTGGGAGGCAGAGGTTGCAGTGAGCCGAGATCGCCCCATTGCACTCCAGCCTGGGCAACAAGAGCAAAACTCCATGTCAAAAAAAAAGAAAAAAAAAGTATGAAACCAGGCAGGTGCAGTGACTCATGCCCGTAATCTCAGTGACTTGGGAGGCTGAGGTGGGAGGATGGCTTGAGGCTAGCAGTTTGAGACCATCCTGGGCAACAAAACCAGACGCCCATCTCTACAAAAAAAATTTAAAAAATCAGCCAAGCATGGTGGCACATGCCTGTAGTCCCAGCTACTTGGGAGTCTGAGGCAGGAGTTCGAGGCTGCAGTGAGGGTGCCACTGCACTCCAGCCTGGGTGACAGAGCTGAGATTCTGATTCAAAAAAAAAAAAGAAAGAAAAAAGAAAAGAAAAGAAAAGAATGATAGAAATGTACACAAGGAGCTTTGGGAACAGAGGAGAGAGAGCAACTATCTCTGCCTGACCTTGAGTAAGTCATTTAAGTAATTCTGGTCCTCATCTTTAACATGGAATAGTCACAACTTGCACTTCACAGAGTTGTAATTCATGGTGCTTGTGTGAGGAACTCAGTGGGTATATAAAGGATCTGAAGTGGCCTAGGGCTTTCTCCAGAGTCCCTGGATTCGTCTAGGCCATATTGGCCCACAGCTTTCTCCATCTATTCACCAGCAGCCCAGCCAGCAGGGAACCTCGGGGAGCCCTGCGCCCTCTTCAGGCTGTCCTCCTGCCATACATTTACTAGTCTTCCCTGATTTGCCCCCATCAAGTTTTCTCTCTAGAGTATACTGGTGCATTTGGCCTTTTCCTTAGGCAGTTCAGAGGTAGGAGTGGATAAAAGCTGGAGCTCTGTAGTGTCAGGCAGACATTGGCTCAAATCCAGCTTTGCTCCTCAGCTAGATGCTAAATCTGGGGAAAGTTACTTAACGTCTCTGAGCCTCTGTTTCCTCACCTGTACGGGAGGGATAATGAGAGTGCTTCTCGGTAGGGCTGTGAGGATTGAATGAGGGGATCGGTCAGCTCCTCAGACCCAAGATCCTCTTGGGGTGGTGGTGGTGCGGGGATGGGTCCTTTACTTGCTCAATTAAAGTCCTGAGCAAGTACCAGGACCGGTGAGTGCTAAATGTTGGTAATGTTCTCCCTCCTCCTTCTGTTCCTCCCCCTCCCCCCTTCTCCCTCCCCCCTCATTGTTATTACTAAATGCAAGGTCAAGTGTGGCAGGGCTCTCACCCTGTTCGGTTTTGCACATGCTAAGATGGGGTCCCCCAGGACCATGTTCAGGGTAAGAGGGAATTGCAGGGGTCCTGGAGGCACGCTAAGGCTAAGGTGGGAGTTTAAATCCATACCAGCTGTGTGATTGTGAGCAAATTGCTTGCCCTCTCTGGGCCTAAGCTTCCCCATTGGTAAGATGGGGATACTGACACTTTCTCACAGGTTTGTTGTGAGGAGTAAACGAGATCATCTAAGTTCAGGGCATGGCAAGTCATGGGCACTGCCTTCTCTTCCCTGTCCAGAGGCTCAATGCCCGCTACACAGAACAAGCAGCAGCTTGTTAATGTCCCGACAAGCATCACTTGTGCTTTCACCGGGAGTCATGCCCCTAGGCCGCAGTGTCTTTGCTGCCTGTCTTCTGTAACTCAACCACCGCCCAGGAGGGCCATGGGTCTGTGGGGCTTGCCCAGTACCCAGGTGCCAACTGGCCTGCTGGTGGGGGCATCTATGGGCTAAGACTGCATCTTTAGATAACACTTTCCAGATAAGCCCTTTTCTCTTATGGGTATTTCGTATCAGCCCTGTGAGTTAGGTGCTCAATAATAACAAAGATGGCTGGGTGTGGTGGTTCATGCCTGTAATCCCAGCACTTTGGGAGGCCGGGGCGGGCAGATCGTGAGGTCAGGAGTTCAAGACCAGCCTGGCACACATACTGAAACCCTGTCTCTACTAAAAATACAAAAAAAAAAAAAAAAAAAAAAAATTAGCCAGGCGTGGTGACTGGCACCTGTAGTCCCAGCTACTTGGGAGGCTGAGGCAGGAGAATTGCTTGAACCCAGGAGGTGGAGGTTGCAGTGAGCTGAGATTGCAACACTGTGCTCCAGCCTGGGTGACAGAGCAAGACTCTGTCTCAAAAATAAAAATAAAATAAAATAAATAATAACAAAGATGACAGTAATAATAGTGACCAACAAATGTTGAGGATCCCGCCTGCCAGGTACTGTGCTAAGCCTGTCACTGCCTGACAGGATGCAGGGTGGCTTGCAGCAGACTTTCTTCTTTTTCCATTTTTATTTTTTTTTTGAGACGAGGTCTTGCCCTGTCACCCAGAATGGAGTGCAGTGGTGCCATCACAGCTCCCTGCAGCCTTGATCTCCCAGGCTCAAGTTATCCTCCCACCTCAGCCTCCTGAGTAGGTGGGACTACAGGTTTGTGCCACCATACTCAGCTAATTTTTTTTTTCTTTTTTGTTTTTTTTGAGACGGAGTCTCGCTGTGTCGCCCAGGCTGGAGTGCAGTGGTGCGATCTCGGCTCACTGCAAGCTTCGCCTCCTGGGTTCATGCCGTTCTCCTGCCTCAGCCTCCTGAGTAGCTGGGACTACAGGTGCCTGCCACCACGCCCGGCTAATTTTTTTTGTATTCTTAGTAGAAACGGGGTTTCACCGTGTTAGCCAGGCTGGTCTCATTCTCCTGACCTCGTGATCCACCGGCCTTGGCCTCCCAAAGTGCTGGGATTACAGGTGTGAGCCACCGCGCCCGGCCAGCTAATTTTTTTATTTTTTGAAGAGATGGAGTCTCACTATGTTGCCCAAGCTGGTTTCAAACTCCTGGGATGAAACAATCTTCCTGTCTCAGCCTCCCAAAGTGCTGGGATTACAGGTGTGAGCCACTGTGTCTGGCCAACAAACTTTTAAGGTAGAGTTTATCGGCCCCATTTCACAGAGAGGACTTGAAGGCTCCAAACAAGATGCTAAGTGACTTCAGAAGCTAAAGAGCTCACGCCGGCCACAGCTGGGAGCTTCATCCAGGTCTGGCTTTCTTCCAGCCTCATGCTCTTTTGTAAATCTGCACCGGCTTTCCTAGGTAAAGAAGAAAAAAGAGCACAAGGCTGGGGTTAGGATGAAAAGCCGTAGTCTCTGATCCTTAGGTGCATCGAATGATTTGTTTTATCATTAGACTTCCTGAACGAGGTCCTGAAACCCATGTTAGCAAAAGTCAGTTTCCTGGAGCCACCTCATAGTTCACCACCAGCAGAGGCCCTCAGGGCCCATTGTCCGTCACCAGGAGGGGCTCTCAGGCCCTTGCTGAGACCCACTTCCTCCCTGTGCTGCACATTCTTCCCAAAATCCATGCCTACCCTGAGACCCTCACGCACCCTGTGGTCCTCACAGCCCCATGATCCACATCCTCCCTGTGATCCATCTCCTCTCCATGATCCTTGCCCATCCTGTGGTCCATGTTGTCCCTGTGACCTACATCCATGTTTTGCTCAACATCCTCCCCATGATCCACATCCTCCCCATGATCCACAATCACCAGTGATCCACATCTATTCCATGATCCACATCCTCTCCATGCTCCACCTCCTCCCTGTGCCCCATGTCCAATCCGTGATCCACATCCACCCCGTGATCCATGTCCACCCCAAGATCCACATCCTCCCCATGATCCACATTCTCCCCGTGATCCATATCCACCTCGTGATCCACATCCACCCAATGATTTACATCTTCCCCATGATCCACATCCTCCCTATGATCCACATCCTCCCTGTGATCCAAGTCCACCCCGTGATCCACATCCACCCTATTCCCCATGTCCATCCCATGGTCCACATCAATCCGATGATCCACATTCTCCCCATGATCCATATCCTCCCTGTGATCCACATCCACCCCATGATCCACATCTTCCCTATGATCCACATCTTCCCCATGATCCACATCCTCCCCGTGATCTACATCCTCCCTGTGACCCACATTTACCCCATGATTCACATGCTCCCCATGATCCACATCCTCCTTGTGATCCACATCCAACCTGTGATGCACATCTTTCCTATGATCGACGTCCTCCTTGTAATCTAAACTCTAGCTCCCCACAAAAGCCTGCTCTGATCATGGTAGGGAGGGTAGCTGTTTCTTCTCTCGATAAAGCCTGTGGGCAGTTGAGACTGGATTTAACCCTGCTCTAGGGAGGACCAACACTGAGCAGTGAACAGCATCTTCCATGACACTGGTGCATCTCCCCTTCCTGCCTTTTCTGTGCTGTTCCCCTGCCCAAAATCTTCCCCAGTTCTGCTCTGCTGGCCAAGACCTGCACCATTCCCCAAGGCATTCCACATGCTGCCTCTTTCCAGGAAGCACCCCTGGGCCCTCCAAGTCAGGTAAGGACCCTACTCTGTGCCGGTACGGTCCTGGCCTCTGGCAATGGCAGCCTCTGGACTACTAAGTCATGTGACTGTCTCTTCTGTCAGACTGTGAGCCCATTGAGGGCAGAAGCCAGTCTTAGTCATCTATGTGTCCAGGAACCTCAGAACAATAGCTGGGGCTAATCAGACAGGACTAGCTCTGCTGCAGGAATGAATAAACCCTGAAATCCTGCTGGCTAAGCACAAAGCAGGTTCATTTGTTGCTCATGTTAAAGTTGGGCGATGGTCATGCAGTTAGCCTCAGTCATGTTGCTTTAAGCATTGCCATCAGAAATGGCTTCCTCCCTTCCCAGTGAAGGGAAGAGATAGCTGGAGAAACACATGGGATGATGTTAAGCCAGACCTGGAAGTGGCACGTGTCACTTCCACCCATCCCATTATCCAGAACCAGCCACACAACCCATCCCAGCTGCAAGGGAGGCTGGGAAACATTGAGGAGCATCTGGGCCTTGGATGAGCACCCGGATGAGAGGTTGGCTTCCACTCGATTTTAGGAAGCCCTTCCTAACAATCAGAGATCGTGATGGAAGAAGAGACTCACAACTGGCTAGCCGATGGAAATTAAGTTGCTTCCCTTCACCTCAGCCAGAGACTTGAGTTCAGACAAAAATCAGCTTCTTGAAAACAAGAGGCCGGGCCCTGGAAACTCCCGTTTAGCCCTGTCAGTCTTGAAGAAGCCTGGTGTTCCCAGCTCTCGGCATCCTTTGTCCTCTGTGAGCTCCCTTAGCCTGGAGAGGTGACTTCTTTATTCTTGGGAACTGCTATTTATAACTTCCAAAGGACCCCTACTCCTTTGCTTCTGAGGCTCAGAAAACGAGTCTGCCCTCCCCAGCCTCCCTCCCCCAACACCAGGCCTCTCTGCCCCCAGAGCAATCCCGTAAATAAAGGATGAAAGGCCCCGTAATTATTACCATTCGAAAACACAGAGACTGTCAAAACCAGGAGTCCAACAAAAGCCTTTACATAAATCACAGCTGATACAATGGCTCTTGGCTGAAGGGGAGAGGGGCTTAGAGTCTCAGCGCTGCTGAAAGAAGGTTTGTGTCTGGGGGAGGAATTGTCAGAGCAGTCCCTGGGGAAGAGACGAGGCCTGATGTCTGAACAGAGGGTGAGCCCGTCATCCTGCTGGGGACGACAGAGGCCATGGAAGGGAATGAGAGTGAAAATCTGGAGGCAGACTCCAGATGTGACATCTCCATGGGGCGGGATGGTCCAGATATCTGGGGCCTGTGCAGGTCACGCTCCATCACAGTCCACAGTCCACAGTCCACAGTCTATCCTGGCAGGGCAGTCCCTCCTAGGAGGGCATGCTGTCTTGCAGAGGTGCCAGGCAAGGGCAGTCCTCACCCAGTGAGTCACGGACATTAAGGGCTCTGGGCTCCAACAGAGGGGAGGTCTGAGTGGGCTGAGCTGCTCCCAGAAGGCTTCTGAAAGGCAAATGTGCTAGGCAGGGAAGGCTGTTTTCTGACAGGCAGAGGGGAGACTAGGACTCTGTGGGGTGGAGTGGTGTGGCTGCATCAGCTCAGGTTCCTTGAGAACGTGTCCACAAAACTGGAATTCCATGGTGGCCCTGTTGAGGAGCCCCGTCCCTGAGGAATGACAGAGACCTCTTCAGGGAGCAGCAAATTCCAGAAAAGCAGGGAAATTGGTAAGATATTTCATATCTCTGGGCAAAATTATTCCTTTTGAATGAACCATTCAGTGGCACATCAAGAATTCAGTGGCATTTAGCAAATGCTGGTGGCTCCTCTTACGTGCCATGCACTGCTCGACTCCGACTGCTCCTTCCTTTGAAGATGAATAAGACATTGTCCTTAAGATATTTAGAGTCCAGGGAAGGAGACAGACACAGAAACCAGAGCTATAAGGCAGGGTGACTAGTGCAGACAGACAGCTGCCCAGAGGCAGAGCCGCACAGCAGGGAGAGGCTGTGGCTCTGGAGCTGAGCCTCCTGGGTTTACGTCCCACCCTGCTGCTGTTGGCTTGATGACCTGGGCGAATCATCTACCTCTCTGGGCTTCAATCACATCCGAATATTAATGGCGGTTATGGGGATTGAAGGAGAATCAGCACAATGTCTGCTATCCAGTCACTGCTCTGTATTAGCCTCGCCTTAAATTGCTCGAATAGTAAGCAAGGGTTTATAAAGCATCTGTGTGCTAATCCCATCCTAAAGTGACAGGGATCAATTTAACCTCCTCATTTAAAAGATGAGGAGACAGGCTCAAAGGGCAAAGCCGACTCACCCAGGCTCACACAACCAGAGTGGCAGAGCCTCAGGGCTTGCCCTGCACAGCGTAGCTTCTGTTCTGAGAGGAATGCACCTGGGTTTTGTGTCTTTGGTGCTGGGGTGGTGAATGGGAGGCTCTGACCGATGGCAGAGTTCCCAGGGGATCCTTCAGGCAGCCGGGGGGCCTTTCTTATGGCAGGGCTCTGAAGCAAGTCCTGGCTGACCTTTTCTTGAAGCTGAGCTCTTCTGCCAAGACCCTTGGCCCTGCCCTTGGCCCCTGTAGAAATGCACACCTGTAAGCCTGTAATACCTTCTCCAGATCACAGCAACTAGGGAACTGCTGGAAGCCCACGTGGCTCAGGTCTACTCCTCACTCCTTGAGGATCCACGTGGCCCTTGGGTGGATCCACACTTCTGGGGATGGTGCGGTCCCAGCTGATCTCCCTGGGGGTCCAGTTAGCCTCATCCTCCTTCACCCAGGGTGGCTGCATGTCAGCACCTGCTCTACCTTCTACCTTAATGGCGTCCCCTAGGCTATCTGTCAGGGGAGTCTATGCAAAGGGGCCCCTTTGAACTTGCCTGTGCCACTCCACTTACCCCGGGCAGTTACCAGCAAGCCACAGCCTGGTGTTCAGAATTAAAGCAGGACTAAGGCGGGTACATGGTAGCTCCCCAAACAACATACCTCTAGATCCCCATGAGTGATCTGGGGCAGGCAGTGTCCCTGGAGGGGTGTATGTGTGGGGAGCACACAGAACAGCAAATCCTTCCTGAAAGCAGGATTGATGGGGACAGGAGCATCAGAGGAAGCTGGAGGACTCCATGTGGGCCCGAGAAGTCAGGCGAAAGGGAAGGAAAGGGCTTGTAGGCACTACCAAGGCTCAGATATTAGATATAGCCCTACAAGTGGCCACCCAGTTACATTAAAGTGAGTGCCCTCACCCTGCCTGCCAGAAGAGGGCCAGGCTGCAGTGCTGGCTGGGAGAGTATCCCTCCATAGAGGATATATCCTGGGCTGGTAGCATAGTGTTTTTCCAACTATGGGTGTAACTCATTAGTGGGTCCTGATGTCAATTTGATATATTAACCTCTGCGTTTAAAAATATAGAGGAGTGACCAGGCGTGGTGGCTCACACCTGCAATCCCAGCACTTTGGGAGGCCAAGGCAGGTGGATCACTTGAGGTCAGGAGTTCGAGACCAGCCTGGGCAAAAAGGTGAAACCCCGTCTCTACTAAAAATACAAAAATTAACCAGGCTTGGTGTCTGGCACCTGTAATCCTAGCTACTCAGGAGGCTGAGGCAGGAGAATCACCTGAACCCAGGAGGCAGAGGTTGCAGTGAGCTGAAATTGTGCCATTGCACTCTAGCCTGGGAGACAGAGTGAGACTCCATCCCCAACAAAATTAAATTAAAAAAATAAATAGAGGAGTATACAATAGAATAGAAAATGAAGTGCATTGCACACTGCAAGGCGCACATCATTTCAGTAAACTTTTGTGTATGTAGACCTATAGTGCAATATTACACAAAATAATTTTTATTGTATGGTTATTAATGTTGGAAATTCTGCTGTGGTATTTCAGTCTCTGAAATAGACTCAGCCCTGTGCTCGGGCAGAACGGGGTTCAAATGGCTGGTCCAGGCCCCTGGCTAAGTTGCTCACTCTTGAACCTCAGCTTCCACATCTGTTAGGTGAGGCTAATGTCACAGGCCTGACAGGACCTCTGTGAGGGTCCCAGGAGATGAAGCATATTAAGTGGGTTGGTGCACCGAGCAGGCTCACTAAATACTCACTCCCTGACCCTTTTCCCCACCCAAACTGTGGTGGAGAAGGAGTGTTTCATGGTGGGCAGCCCAGGTGCCAGTCCCCCCTCTTCCCCAGTGATGGGGTACCATTACCCCCATGACAGCCCATCTTGGTGCCAGGTTGAACTGCCAATTGCTCTATTTGAGGTCCCTATGCCCTGTCTCCACTGAAGTTAAGGTCCACTCCCCATTTTTATATGGGGACTGTAGACGCTGCGCATCAGGTACCCTCCTCCTCCTTCCCCTGGTGCATCAGACAGAACCCGGTATTGAGGCTTTGGGGGCAGGGAGAGGGGCAGGGCTGCTACAGGACATCTGTCCGTCCGTCTGTCTGTGAAGCTGCACCGGCGATTGGACCACCCTCTGCCCGCCTGTTCTTTCCCCTTCACGCCACCTGACAGCCTTACACAGAAAGCCAGCCTGGCCAGACCTGCCCCCTGAGTTGGTGGCACGGGGGAAGATGAGGGAATTAACTTCTGGCCCGCTGACAGTGGTGCAGCCTGCCAAAGCCGCCCGGGTAATTTGGTTCCTTTCCTTTGTTGACTTGGTGCCAGCGCACAAGAGCGGATTAAGCAGGGAAATTCTGCATGGAGAACTCTCCCCCTTGGCGCTCCAATCCCATTGTCTCCTGAGAATGACAGCCGCTGGTGGTGCCAACGCACACCGCTTCACTGGCACGTCCCCAAACAGATCAGCTTCCCATTCCTGAAAAGAGGGATTTGTTAAAGAACTGGAGTTAAAAGAAAGAAGGAGAGGCAGGAGAGGACAGGCTGCGTAGTAAAAGTTACGCCTGGTTTGTTAATTAAAGGAGCAAGGTCCCCTAATGCTAATGCTGATCCCTGCAGGGGACGTTGGTTCTTCTCAAATTCACCTCCTTTGGGGGATGATTTCAATTGGGCCCACACTTCCTGCGCCTGGGCATTGGGCTGTGTGCTGGTTGGTGAGGTGGAGATGAACAGCCAGCTCCTTTAAGAGACATGCATCAGTCCTTCTCTGTTTTCCAGAACACAGACACCTATGCAAAAACCTGGGATAATCGCGGGTAATATTTATTGAGTGCCAACTATGCGGCAGGCACTGTTCTAAGCATTTGATTCACATCAGCTAATTTAATGATTCTAATAACCTCATGAGGTCTGTATTATTGTTATTCTTATATTCCTGCTTTAATGATGGCAAACGTATGTATAAACAGTGGTGAGCTGTCCGTGTTAACAATTGCTCTCTGGAAAAATATAAAAAAACCAGCTCTGAGCATTGCAGCATTTGCCACTTTCTGTGGTGTCCACACTCCTACCACACTCGAGTACCAGCTTCCCATGGGAGGTCCCTGAACACAGAGCTGGGGGCAGTCACGACTTCAGTGCACAAGCAGGATCCCTGACGCCAATGGGTGACAAGAAACTTTTCCAAACTCATGCAGTTAAGTGGTGGAGCCAAGATTTGTACGCGGGTCACCTGGTTCCTGAGCCTCTTCTCTCAACTGCTGTACTGCTCAGCCTCTGATGACAGACAGAAAGAACATGAGGCCTCAGGGAGTTCTGAAGGTGAGAGAGGTATGGGACACGCCAGCACCTCTCAGTTCCTGCCTCACTGACAGTCCTCCTTCCTGGGACCCCGCCCCGCCCCGCCCCACCCCACCCCACCCCACCCCACCCCATGTTGTTCTCCTCCCTTACCAGCACTTGAGCCCGATAACTTCCGGTTCAAGAAATCCGGATGTACCACAACACACTTTCTGAGGCAGAACGTAAAAGGTAGAGCCACGTTTGGTATCCGAGGTAAACAATTTTTGTAGCCGCTAATGAAATCTTTAAATCCTCTCTTTGTACATCGTTTTCATTTTATTATCACAGCATGTTTGTGAGAAATACTTTAAAATTCTTCAGCCTAAGAGTAAAAAAAGCCCCCCCGCCCCACCCCCCGCTCCACTGTCAGTTTTCTCCCTTCTGTGTCTTGCATACTGGCTGATTGACTTTGTCCACTCCAGGTATCCTAACATCTTAACAGTCTCTTTGCTGGAAAGAAATCTTCAGTGGCTCCCATTACCTACGGATCCAGCCTGGCTTTTTAGTCCAGCATTCAAGACCTGTCAAGCTCTTCTGCATCCTCTCGTATGCATGTGATAGACAGGCACTCCACCTAGCGAAGTACAACCATCCCAAACTTATTCCTATTACTTTTCTTCCATTCATTCGTTCATACAATCAATCAGTCATCATTGAGGATTTATTAGACGATAGGTTCTGGAGACAAAAAGGTAGATAAATACGACGCAGTCTTTGCTTTTGAGGACTGTATCCCAGATACATCTGACTGGTTGTTCCTGCTGAAACATTTTTCCACCTCCATGCTTTTGCATACACTACTTTCTCCACCTGGAAGACCCTCTCTGCATTTCTGAACATGCACTTTTATTAACTGTCCACAGCTGCAGTGAGGCCTTCTTCATGAAGCCTCTCCCAGTTCTCCGCCTCACCCCACCAAGCTGGAACTGATCGCAGCCTCCAAACTCCCACAGCAATCCTTTGCCTCCTCTTCTGACGCTACTCTTTCTCTCTTGGATGAAAGCCGTGTGTATCCATGTTGGTTCTCCACTTCTAGAACCTGTCGTTTTGGGGCTGCAGGACTTGGTGGATTCACACTGGCATCCCCTCAGGAAGCAGGTGAGCAGGAAGTGACTGTTGGATGCACGAGAAAGCAAGGGAACCACAGAGGTGGGAAAATGCTGTCTCTTTTTCATTGTTAAGTCACTACTTTAGGCACAAGAGTGTAACTAAGTCCTTTCCAAATGGAAAATGGCTACTTTAGAGCCACGTGGACTCCTCACAAATTACATGTTGTGTCTTCTGTTCCTCTTTAAAATATTTTTCACAGGTAGCTTCATTAAAATGACGATCACTTCTGGGAGCAAATTAATAAATTCAAACATAGACTATTAGAATTTGAAGGGACCTGCAAGACCCTTCTCTCTTTAGCTCTCAATTTTAGATCTAAGAAAACTGGGTCAAGAGAGGCAAAAATAACTTACTCAAATTCCCTGTGAGTGCTTGTGGTATATTGTACAATACACCATAATAATTGTTTATAATAATTTAGTGATTCATTCAACTACTCTGCAAGTCAACTCTGTGTCAGGCAAAAGGTGATTCTAAACCATTGAGAAAAAGATAAAATATATTGGTTATTGAGGAGTAGTTTAACTTTTTAGAAATGCTTTCATCAACAGTAGCAAAAAGGAAAGCAAATAAAAGCTCATATAAGGTAAATTTCAGTTACCTGGAAAAGTTACCTATGTGAAGTGTTTCATTTTACAGGTGAACAGAGCAGTGAGACAGGGCCATATGACAACCTTTCCTTGTTCGCAGGGGATAGTTCAGGTTTACTTCTCTTGTAAACTTCTCTCTTCCCACCACAATTATTAATAGTGTGTTCTTTCACTCTCAAAAGTGTTCTGGCTTGGACAATGGCCATTCTACGTATAAAGCTTAGTCGTTTTTTCTTGTATAGCTATAATATCACTTTTTTTTTCTTTTTTTTCTTTTATTATTATACTTTAAGTTTTAGGGTACACGTGCACATTGTGCAGGTTAGTTACATATGTATACATGTGCCATGCTGGTGCACTGCACCCACTAACTCGTCATCTAGCATTAGGTATATCTCCCAATGCTATCCCTTCCCCTTCCCCCCACCCCACAACAGTCCCCAGAGTGTGATTTTCCCCTTCCTGTGTCCATGTGATCTCATTGTTCAATTCCCACCTATGAGTGAGAATATGAGGTGTTTGGTTTTTTGTTCTTGTGATAGTTTACTGAGAATGATGATTTCCAATTTCATCCATGTCCCTACAAAGAACATGAACTCATCATTTTTTATGGCTGCATAGTATTCCATGGTGTATATGTGCCACATTTTCTTAATCCAGTCTATCATTGTTGGACATTTGGGTTGGTTCCAAGTCTTTGCTATTGTGAATAGTGCCGCAATAAACATACGTGTGCATGTGTCTTTATAGCAGCATGATTTATAGTCCTTTGGGTATATACCCAGTAATGGGATGGCTGGGTCAAATGGTATTTCTAGTTCTAGATCCCTGAGGAATCGCCACACTGACTTCCACGATGGTTGAACTAGTTTACAGTCCCACCAACAGTGTAAAAGTGTTCCTATTTCTCCACATCCTCTCCAGCACCTGTTGTTTCCTGACTTTTTAATGATTGCCATTCTAACTGGTGTGAGATGGTATCTCATTGTGGTTTTGATTTGCATTTCTCTGATGGCCAGTGATGATGAGCATTTTTTCATGTGTTTTTTGGCTGCATAAATGTCTTCTTTTGAGAAGTGTCTGTTCATGTCCTTTGCACACTTTTTGATGGGGTTGTTTGTTTTTTTCTTGTAAATTTGTTTGAGTTCATTGTAGATTCTGGATATTAGCCCTTTGTCAGATGAGTAGGTTGCGAAAATTTTCTCCCATTTTGTAGGATGCCTGTTCACTCTGATGGTAGTTTCTTTTGCTGTGCAGAAGCTCTTTAGTTTAATTAGATCCCATTTGTCAATTTTGTCTTTTGTTGCCATTGCTTTTGGTGTTTTAGACATGAAGTCCTTGCCCACGCCTATGTCCTGAATGGTATTGCCTAGGTTTTCTTCTAGGGTTTTTATGGTTTTAGGTCTAACGTTTAAGTCTTTAATCCATCTTGAATTGATTTTTGTATAAGGTGTAAGGAAGGGATCCAGTTTCAGCTTTCTACATATGGCTAGCCAGTTTTCCCAGCACCATTTATTAAATAGGGAATCCTTTCCCCCTTGCTTGTTTTTCTCAGGTTTGTCAAAGATCAGATAGTTGTAGATATGCGGCATTATTTCTGAGGGCTCTGTTCTGTTCCATTGATCTATATCTCTGTTTTGGTACCAGTACCATGCTGTTTTGGTACCAGTGCCATGCTGTTTTGGTTACTGTAGCCTTGTAGTATAGTTTGAAGTCAGGTAGTGTGATGCCTCCAGCTTTGTTCTTTTGGCTTAGGATTGACTTGGCAATAAGGGCTCTTTTTTGGTTCCATATGAACTTTAAAGTAGTTTTTTCCAATTCTGTGAAGAAAGGCATTGGTAGCTTGATGGGGATGGCATTGAATCTGTAAATTACCTTGGGCAGTATGGCCATTTTCACGATATTGATTCTTCCTACCCATGAGCATGGAATGTTCTTCCATTTGTTTGTATCCTCTTTTATTTCCTTGAGCAGTGGTTTGTAGTTCTCCTTGAAGAGGTCCTTCACATCCCTTGTAAGTTGGATTCCTAGGTATTTTATTCTCTTTGAAGCAATTGTGAATGGGAGTTCACTCATGATTTGGCTCTCTGTTTGTCTGTTGTTGGTGTATAAGAATGCTTGTGATTTTTGTACATTGATTTTGTATCCTGAGACTTTGCTGAAGTAGCTTATCAGCTTAAGGAGATTTTGGGCTGAGACAATGGGGTTTTCTGGATATACAATCATGTCATCTGCAAAGAGGGACAATTTGACTTCCTCTTTTCCTAATTGAATACCCTTTATTTCCTTCTCCTGCCTAATTGCCCTGGCCAGAACTTCCAACACTATGTTGAATAGGAGTGGTGAGAGAGGGCATCCCTGTCTTGTGCCAGTTTTCAAAGGGAATGCTTCCAGTTTTTGCCCATTCAGTATGATATTGGCTGTGGGTGTGTCATAGATAGCTCTTATTATTTTGAAATATGTCCCACCAATACCTAATTTATTGAGAGTTTTTAGCATGAAGGGTTGTTGAATTTTGTCAAAGGCCTTTTCTGCATCTATTGAGATAATCATGTGGTTTTTGTCTTTGGCTCTGTTTATATGCTGGATTACATTTATTGATTTGTGTATATTGAACCAGCCTTGCGTCCCAGGAATGAAGCCCACTTGATCATGGTGGATAAGCTTTTTGATGTGCTGCTGGATTCGTTTTGCCAGTATTTTATTGAGGATTTTTGCATCAATGTTCATCAAGGATATTGGTCTAAAATTCTCTTTTTTGGTTGTGTCTCTGCCAGGCTTTGGTATCAGAATGATGCTGGCCTCATAAAATGAGTTAGGGAGGATTCCCTCTTTTTCTATTGATTGCAATAGTTTCAGAAGGAATGGTACCAGTTCCTCCTTGTACCTCTGGTAGAATTCAGCTGTGAATCCATCTGGTCCTGGACTCTTTTTGGTTGGTAAGCTATTGATTATTGCCACAATTTCAGATCCTGTTATTGGTCTATTCAGAGATTCAACTTCTTCCTGGTTTAGTCTTGGGAGAGTGTATGTGTTGAGGAATTTATCCATTTCTTCTAGATTTTCTAGTTTATTTGCGTAGAGGTGTTTGTAGTATTCTCTGATGGTAGTTTGTATTTCTGTGGGATCGGTGGTGATATCCCCTTTATCATTTTTTATTGCGTCTATATGATTCTTCTCTCTTTTTTTCTTTATTAGTCTTGCTAGCAGTCTATCAATTTTGTTGATCCTTTCAAAAAACCAGCTCCTGGATTCATTAATTTTTTGAAGGGTTTTTTGTGTTTCTATTTCCTTCAGTTCTGCTCTGATTTTAGTTATTTCTTGCCTTCTGCTAGCTTTTGAATGTGTTTGCTCTTGCTTTTCTAGTTCTTTTAATTGTGATGTTAGGGTGTCAATTTTGGATCTTTCCTGCTTTCTCTTGCGGGCATTTAGTGCTATAAATTTCCCTCTACACACTGCTTTGAATGTGTCCCAGAGATTCTGGTATGTTGTGTCTTTGTTCTCGTTGGCTTCAAAGAACATCTTTATTTCTGCCTTCATTTCGTTATGTACCCAGTAGTCATTCAGGAGCAGGTTGTTCAGTTTCCATGTAGTTGAGCGGTTTTGAGTGAGATTCTTAATCCTGAGTTCTAGTTTGATTGCACTGTGGTCTGAGAGATAGTTTGTTATAATTTGTGTTCTTTTACATTTGCTGAGGAGAGCTTTACTTCCAAGTATGTTGTCAATTTTGGAATAGGTATGGTGTGGTGCTGAAAAAAATGTATATTCTGTTGATTTGGGGTGGAGAGTTCTGTAGATGTTTATTAGGTCCACTTGGTGCAGAGCTGAGTTCAATTCCTGGGTATCCTTGTTGACTTTCTGTCTCGTTGATCTGTCTAATGTTGACAGTGGGGTGTTAAAGTCTCCCATTATTAATGTGTGGGAGTCTAAGTCTCTTTGTAGGTCACTCAGGACTTGCTTTATGAATCTGGGTGCTCCTGTATTGGGTGCATATATATTTAGGATAGTTAGCTCTTCTTGTTGAATTGATCCCTTTACCATTATGTAATGGCCTCTTTGTCTCTTTTGATCTTTGTTGGTTTAAAGTCTATTTGAGGGTAACCCGACCTTTCTCTCTGGCTGCCCTTAACATTTTTTCCTTCATTTCAACTTTGGTGAATCTGACAATTATGTGTCTTGGAGTTGCTCTCCTTGAGGAGTATCTTTGTGGCGTTCTCTGTATTTCCTGAATCTGAACGTTGGCCTGCCTTGTTAGATTGGGGAAGTTCTCCTGGATAATATCCTGCAGAGTGTTTTCCAACTTGGTTCCATTCTCCCCGTCACTTTCAGGTACACCAATCAGACGTAGATTTGGTCTTTTCATATAGTCCCATATTTCTTGGAGGCTTTGCTCATTTCTTTTTATTCTTTTTTCTCTAAACTTCCCTTCTCGCTTCATTTCATTCATTTCATCTTCCATTGCTGATACCCTTTCTTCCAGTTGATGGCATCGGCTCCTGAGGCTTCTGCATTCTTCACGTAGTTCTCGAGCCTTGGTTTTCAGCTCCATCAGCTCCTGTAAGCACTTCTCTGTATTGGTTATTCTAGTTATACATTCTTCTAAATTTTTTTCAAAGTTTTCAACTTCTTTGCCTTTGGTTTGAATGTCCTCCCGTAGCTCAGAGTAATTTGATCGTCTGAAGCCTTCTTCTCTCAGCTCGTCAAAGTCGTTCTCTGTCCAGCTTTGTTCCGTTGCTGGTGAGGAACTGCGTTCCTTTGGAGGAGGAGAGGCGCTCTGCGTTTTAGAGTTTCCAGTTTTTCTGTTCTGTTTTTTCCCCATCTCTGTGGTTTTATCTACTTTTGGTCTTTTATGATGGTGATGTACAGATGGGTTTTTGGTGTGGATGTCCTTTCTGTTTGTTAGTTTTCCTTCTAACAGACAGGACCCTCAGCTGCAGGTCTGTTGGAGTACCCTGCTGTGTGAGGTGTCAGTGTGCCCCTGCTGGGGGGTGCCTCCCAGTTAGGCTGCTCGGGGGTCAGGGGTCAGGGACCCACTTGAGGAGGCAGTCTGCCCGTTCTCAGATCTCCAGCTGCGTACTGGGAGAACCACTGCTCTCTTCAAAGCTGTCAGACAGGGACATTTAAGTCTGCAGAGGTTACTGCTGTCTTTTTGTTTGTCTGTGCCCTGCCCCCAGAGGTGGAGCCTACAGAGGCAGGCAGGCCTCCTTGAGCTGTGGTGGGCTCCACCCAGTTCGAGCTTCCTGGCTGCTTTGTTTACCTAAGCAAGCCTGGGCAATGGTGGGCGCCCCTCCCCCAGCCTCGCTGCCACCTTGCAGTTTGATCTCAGACTGCTGTGCTAGCAATCAGCGAGACTCCGTGGGGTAGGACCCTCCGAGCCAGGTGCGGGATATAATCTCGTGCTGCGCCGTTTTTTAAGCCCGTCGGAAAAGCGCAGTATTTGGGTGGGAGTGACCCGATTTTCCAGGTGCCGTCCGTCACCCCTTTCTTTCACTAGGAAAGGGAACTCCCTGACCCCTTGCGCTTCCCGAGTGAGGCAACGCCTCGCCCTGCTTCAGCTCGCGCACGGTGCGCGCACCCACTGACCTGCGCCCACTGTCTGGCACTCCCCAGTGAGATGAACCTGGTACCTCAGATGGAAATGCAGAAATCACCCTTCTTCTGCGTCGCTCACTCTGGGAGCTGTAGACCGCAGCTGTTCCTATTCGGCCATCTTGGCTCCTCCCCCCGTAATATCACTTTTTAATTAATAGCAGATTCTAAGCAATGTGTCACTGATCTGTTGCTGTCGAACCCTGGACATCTCAAGGCTGCCTGCTTGTGAGAGAGCTCCCAGAAAACTGTCAGCAATGCCAGCGGATGCCCTCTTTCCTCTCAGTGTCTTGCTACTGTGAATATGTTCTGTCCACAAATGCTATGGCACAACCTTCCAAATCCCAGGAAAATAAAGGACACCTCGAAGCAGGTTGGTCTGTTTTGCCAAAAATAGAAGCTACCAGCAGTCTTGGGGGTGAGGAGATAGAGGATGTTGATGGTGTGTCATAGGCCAGATGCAAGTCATTCCAGGCATTTTTGCATAAAAATCCACTTCCAATCTTCCTACATGAATTGCCATTAGGTACATTGCTTTAAAGTGTTAAATGAACCATCAAGTTTTTCACTTGGCAATTGCTAAACTTCCAAAAAATCTGCTTTGTCAGTTTTGGATACTCACATTGTTTGAATTGTCTGTTGCTGTCTAACTCCCATTCTTGGGGGTAGATGGAGAGAAAGATGACTTGATGAGAATGTGTATGGGAGCAACTCACCTCCCACACTCTTGAGAAGGCTTGTCAGAGGACCTAAATGACATCACATCACCCAACCTCTATTGTACATCTTTGTAGAAACTGATATGAGAGACTAGGTGTCCCAGATGGTTGAAAAGATATTAGGACTCAATTTCCACCTATATCTTACTCCATGACAGCTGTTTCTTACCTGGGCCCCTGTCTTTAATCTGTTCCCTCACAGTTCACCCTCTCCACTGCAACCTAAGAGATCATTCTGGACCAGAGAGACACAGGCAGAATCTAGCTTCCAACACTCTGGGGTTTCGCTACCTCCAGATTTAATGTCCAAGCACAATATCATAAAGCCCTCAATAAGCTGATCATTGTTTCTTTCTTGCTACATTTTCCAGTATAAGTTTTCTTCTATTGTGTACTTTTGAGTTAAAATGAAAACAGGTTAGATGTGTTGGCTCACTCCTGTAATCCCAGCACTTTGGGAGGCCAAGGTGGGGGGATTGCTAGAGCCCAGGAGTTTGAGACCAGCCTGGGTAACATAGTGAGACCCCATCTTTACAAAAAATAATTTCAAACAATTAGCCAGGCATGGTGGTGCACATCTGTAATCCCAGCTACTTGGGAGGCTGAGGTGGGAGGATCACTTGAGCCTGGGAGGTTGAGGCTGCAGTGAGCTGTGATTATGTCACTGCACTCCAGCCTGGGTGACAGAGCAAGAGCCTGTCTCAAAAAGAAAAAACAAACAAACAAAAACAAAAATAAAGTGAAAACAGTCATGCACCAGAATTAAATGCATCAACTCTCACCACTACCAACAGATGGCATGAGAAGGTGCTTGTAAAATACCACTTTGGACTTAAGAACACTCTAGGAACCAACTTTTCTGTAAGCAGAGGAGCTTCTTTTTCTCTAATTTTCTCCTCTATTTATCCACCAACTCATCCATCCATCCATTCATTCATCCATCCATCTATCCTCCCATTTATCCATCTATCCATCCATTCATCCATCCTCCCATTTAACCATCCATCCATCTATCCATCCATCCATCCACCCACCCATCCATCCATTCTTTCAACAGGCAATTGCTTGCTTGCTCTGTGCCAGACACTTGAGCTCTGTGGTGGTAATCATTGGGGGAACAATGAAGCCCCTGGCCTCAAGAAACTTGGAATCTCGTACAAAAGTGTTGTATTCCCCCTGCATGCTTGCCATTGCCTATGACCATACGGCATCCTTCACCTAGAGTATCATTATTTATGTTCTCCATCTAGAAAATGCTTCACTAACATTAAGAGTTAGTTAAAGCACTTCTTTCTAAGACTATCCATATCTCCCCATCAGTAAGAATATGGAGTCAGACCTGCAAAAAACCTCATGGTGTCAGACAATGCACAGGAAGCTTATTTCCCCTTTATTACCCATGGGACTTTAAAGAGATCTTTCTCTTTTTTTGAAACAGGGTCTGGCTCTGTTATTCAGGCTGAGTGCAGTGGCATGATTGAGGCTCACTGCCACCTCTGGCTCCCAGGCTCAAGCAATTCTCCCATCTCAGCCTCCCAAGTAGCTGGGACTACAGGCATGTGCCATGACACCTGGCTAATTTTTGTATTTTTAGTAGAGATGGGGTTTAGTCATATTGCCCAGGCTGGTCTCAAACTCCTGGGCTCAAGTGATCCGCCTGTCTCGGCTTCCCAAAGTGCTGGGATTACAAGCATCAGCCACCTTGCCCGGCCTTAAACAAATCATTTAATCTCTCAGGGCCTTAGTTGCTCAAACCATAAAATGGGAAGGATAATAATTGCTTATCTAATCTCACGGGGTAGTTGTGAGATTCACATAGTTGTCTAAATGCCTTAAACCACTGACTTTCTGTTGATTCATTTATTCCCTCAACATTTGTTAAGTGCTCTTTGGGCCAACCCTTGTGTTAGTTCTGGGGATTTATATTTAAGTGGACCCTTCCCACAGGGAACACATCACCTAGAGCAGGCAACAGTCATGGAAAAATTCCCACGCAGTGAGACATGTGATGAAAAAAGCCAGCGTGGGGAGGGTGGCTTCAAACATGAACATCATGCGATTTAAAATAACCAGAGCATGCATTCGCCTCACACTCACTATGCACACTGTCCTGTTCTCATGCTTTGCTTGCATTTGCCCATTTAATTCTCACATTTATTATCTCTCTTTGAAATAGGAACATTTATGATCCCCATTATACAGATGAGAAAAATGTAAGCAAAGGATGGTATGGCTAGTAATAGGCAGAGGTAATATTTCAACCTCCTAAGCCCTTTATAAACAAGCTCCACAGGTAGGGGTGAATGGGCATCCCATGGGGCCAAGGCAGTGAGTGAGGGTGTTGGCATGACCAGAGCAGAAGAAGGTGAGCTCGCGGGAGCAGGTCGAATTCCTGAGGGCAGGCAGCCTGGCTGAGGAATCTGCAGCCCCCAAGGTTACTGAAAATAGGTATCGTGTGATCAAACGCAGGCCTTCTAGGAACTTGGATTTACCTCCTTTTTTTGTCCTCCTTCTTCCCTCTCCTTTCATTCCTGGGGAATGTCTTGCCTGTCCTCTTGGACGCTGGCCTTGAACAAAGATGGCTTAAAAAAATAGTTGGAGGCGAGAATCAACTTTCACTTCATTAAAAAAAAAATTCTTTTTCCTTTCCTTTTTTTTTTTTTCCAGAGATAAGTTTCACTAATTTTTTTTTTCCAGAGTTGAGGTTTGCTATGTTGCCCAGGTGATTCTACTGCCTCAGCCTCCAGAGTAGCTGAGATTACAGGCCTGTGCCCCCACCCCTGTCTCTAGAACTAGGTTTTGGTTTGCAGAGTGGTAACATTCCCTGGCTACAGTTGTATGTTATGAGCCTTGTACATTTGCAGAGTATATGGGAAGAAAGCAGCCATTCATCAAGATCTCTCCTTACCTGTTGGACTTTGGATATATGACAAGAAGTTACTAAATGTCTAAGTAATGTCTTTTCCTTTTTATCTAAAAGACCCTAAAAATATGAGTATTTGGCATCATTCTGTCAACAATTGATTTGATTTGCCGTGAACTGATCTTTGCTAGGGTTCCAAGTTGGTTTAAATCAATGAGCTCTCTCTTTTTTGTTTTTGTCTCTCAAATTGTATTGCTTTGGAGAGTTTTTCTTTGAAAAGCTTTTATTGACTTTTGCTAAAAGAAGAAGCGATGTGTCAGATTCTAAATGAAATCCTCTTTCTGAGGAGCTGTGAGGTCCCCACAATGTGTCAACAACAATCAAGATGTTGAAATTGAAAGCATTCACAGAGGTCATTCAGCCCAGCCATTCCCAGATCTGACCGATCACCGGAATCATGTGGGCATCAGAGACAGAGCAACAACAACAAGCTACAACAGCAGCAGCAGCAGCAGCAGCAGCAGCAGCAGCAGCAGCAGCAGCAGAATGAAGGAATGAATGAATGAATGAGCGAGTGAGTGAGTAAATCCGCATTTCTGGAGGAGACTGTATTTACGAAGAATCTTCCCAGATCTCTATGGCAGCATGTCTGGGGACCCCTGCAGTCACTGGTCTCTCCAACAGGGCAGCAACCCAGAATGGTGCAATTTTGGCATTGCACACACCTGAGGAGGCACATGGGGGCTGAAATCCAGTCCAAGCTCCAAGGGAAAGACTTCTTTTTCTCTGTGTGACTCCCCCAACCTGTGGAGTGTGCCTCTAGGGCTGCATCCATGCAAGGGGACACCTTTTCCTAATTTTCACAAAGGTTCCCTATAGGTTAATGGGGGCATTGCTAAGAAACCCAAATGCTGCAATGATTTTTAAGGACCATGCTGATTGATGGTCATCTTGGACTGCCACTGAGGTCTCACATTTTACTGTTAGTTCATTCTCTTCCTCCACTCCTCTACTACCTGCAACCATAGTCTTGCTCTAGATCCTGCAGCCCATGACATCCCATTCCTCTTTCCCCAGGGAGACCCTCACGGATTTTGAAAACAACCTGTTCCCACTTGTCCTAGGTTTATTGGTCAGAATATCCCCGCTTCTTTCTGAATAACCTGGATTTGGTTTTCTTTCCATTTATCAAATTCTCCCATAATCTGTATCATCCACATGGATGGACACTTCATTTGGTCACTCACTCATTGTTTCACTCATGAGTGCATACTGTGCAGCTGGTTCACCATGCACTAGTTACCAGCTTGTCTAGTCTCATGAGGCAGAACACCCATGCATATCACAGGTTACATAAAGAGGGTTTATTACTTACAGATAGATAGCAAGGGGCAAGAGATGCCGAGGGCCTGTTGTAAACCCATCCCCCAAGACTCAGGGAAGCTGCCTGGGGTGGATAGAGCTTCAACTGCACACGCTTCATTTGCAGCACTGCAGAGGGACCCTGGAAAGCAGCATTCCATGGGTTTTATACCCTAAGGTCACATGACATGTGGGGCTGAAGCACTGATGGAATCTTGTTTCTGAGGGAGACTGGGACAGAGCTCTGGCTATTCCGGCCAGCTCCTCTCTATCTCAAGGATGTGGCATTCTCAGCACATTCTAAATTTTTTTTTTTTTTTTGAGATAAGGCCTCACTCTGTTGCCCTGACTGGAGTGCTGTGGTGCAATGATGGCTCACTGCAGCCTTGACCTCCCAGGCTCATGCAATCCTCCCACCTCGCCTCCAAGGTAGCTGAGACTACAGGTGTGCACACCATGCCTGGCTAATTTTTTTTTTAAGTTTCTGTAGAGACAGGGTCTTGCTATGTTGCCCAGACTGATTCTCAGTGCATTCTAAAACAGGGGAGAACTGGATTGGTTGAAGACCATCCTGATCATATGCCAAGCATTCGACAGTTGTTCATCAAATATTTATTAGTGCGACTATGTTTTAGTCTCTTCTCCAGCCTTTGGGGATATAGTGACAAGCAAAATAGAACATGTTTCTTATTTCATGGTTCTTTAAGTCTAGTGGTAGGGAAGACAGATAACAGACAAGTAAACCAATAAATAAGAAAGATAATTTTAAACAGTGTTGAGTCAAGCACTTTGCAAGGTGTTAAAGGAGTAAGGAGATGAAAAAAGTGCTTTCTGCAAGTTGCTTACAGTCTAGTGGGGAGATTCATTCAAACTCATAGTTTCCACCTGGCTTTGCTCATATTGAAATCAAGGCTTGTAGGAGACCATTGGAGCATGGGGCCAAAAGGCCTAGGGAGGAGGAGGGGTCCCTCTCTGGGATCAGGCCTCCTCAGCCCAGAGGCAGCAGGTTCTTACCCAGTTAGGATTATTCTAGTTTGTTTTAAATAACTCTGGCTTACTACATTGTTTTTAAGGTCACGTTGGGTAGACTTGATTTTAGAGTCTGATTCTTTTTTAGGTGTGGAAGGAGTTTTCCATGAGAGAATAAAACCCCACATTGCAATTCCCATTTCAGTCTGGTGGGCCTTGGAGCCAAAATAGTTTGTGCACTAAGTGCTAAGCTATGCAGAGATGGGAGATATTCAGCTCCTTCAATCTGGTAGGCTTGGCAGGGCGAGCTCTTGGTAACAATGACTTCCTATATACCAACTATAGTATAAAAACTGTGGCTTGTGTTTTGTCTTGCTCTGTGCCCTCTGGGGCCAATTCCAGCTCCAAGCTCCCTTTGAAGTTTCTGTGCCTGGATTGGCTTCACAGGCTCTGAAGCCAGATGAGAAATGGGCCCATTATTAATGGGGGCAAAGAATTCGCACCCTCTTCATTCTGTGTGGGTGGTATTGGGATTCCATGGGATACCCTAGGGGAGAGTGTCAGACTGCTCAGAGCACTGGTGCCGGGCTTGGCACTGGTTCTTTTTGGGATCTGTTGGCACTGAATGGCACTGGACAGTAATGACTTCCCTGTGTTTAGCTGCGAGTGATGAGAGGTTACTCTGGACAGATGATGGGTGTGGTGGGGGTCATGCATTAGGAGAGCAGATTCATTCATTGTTTAATTGATTGGTTCGCTCATTCAAACATTTACTAAGTTCCATTCTGTGCCAGGTCTTATGTTTCTCCATTTCTCAGGGAACAAAGAGCCACAAGATTTTGGTAGAGAAGATGAGTGTGCAAGGGACTTGGTGCAAAGCAGAGTTATAGGCACCCTGGAAAAAATCTGAGTAGCAGGGGGCAAGGCACAGTGAAGGAAGTCATCCGTTCTCTCTGGCTGGGGGTGGTTAAAAAAGGCTTCAAGGAGGAGGTGGTGTTTGAACTGTATTTTAAAAGTTAACATCAGGAACAGACCAATGATAGGAATGTGGGTGTATTACATTATGATGAGACACATTCTACTCTGTTTACAAAGTCTTAACCAAGCTTTTAGGGTGGCTCAATTCTGTTCACAAGGAGTGGGTAATGAGCTGGTTCTATTTAGTAAGATAGAGACAGAAGAGTACCCTGGTCTAGTAGTCAAGAAACCCGAGTTTGTGATGAGTCCTCGCTTGCCCTCCATGGATGTTGTTTTACTCAGCTATAACATGAGAGATGTGGACAACTTCAGCAATATTTCACCATTTCCTAGGAAGAGTTGAAATGGTTGCGGTAGGGGTAGAGAGCTGAGATCTCTTGCTAGTCCACCCCTTGCTCCCTAAGGGGTCCCACAAAGCAAAGCTGAGCTTTGCAGAACATCTTGTCAACCTTGTGAAGAAATGGCTTCTAAGACCCTTTCCAGTCTGATACTTGGAGCTTGATCTCAAATTGAGTCCAGTAAATTCACAGCAATGTGACCTTGGTGAGCCTTCTTTCTTGCTTATGAGCCCTTCTTCCTCCCTCATTTCCACATCTGTAGGATAACAGGTTGGACAATATGACCTGGAAGCCCTGTCTCTTCTGGCTTTACAGACCAAAGACCTACAGATCCAACTACACTGGCTGTGCAGGGGATTTGGTTATAAGGAAAGAAAAAGGATTCTATTTGTCAGGTGCCTTCCACAGACCACACACAGGGCTAGGGGTTTTGCTTACACTACACTTCATCCTTCCAGCACAGAAGTCTCTTGAGGCTGTTATAATTGTCATAGCTTTAAAGATAAGAAAACAAGCCCAAAGAGATGAAAGAACTGGAGAAAATTCTCCAGGGTTGTGTGAAAGAACAGGAGAGTGGATGGGGGCCTCTGCCTCTCAGTCCAGGGCTGTTTCTGTCATTCTATATCTTTAATATCCCTGACAGCGTGACCCTCTTTTCTTGGCTGTCTGGTCAACACAGTGGGCTGCCATGCAAGGTGGAACTCTAGTGGCATGATGTCCACAGTGCCTGCTGGTCCAGAGCAGCCCTGGCTGGACAGTCAGGCCATACTCAGAAAATGCAATGGCCTTGAATCAAGGAGCTGCTTGGCTGGACAGATAGAAGGGGGCTGTGAGGTCCCAGATGGGGGAGTCCTGGGCTTAGAGTCAGAGGAGACTCCACTTTCTCACATGTTGGGGGCTGGGGTCTTGTGTTGGGGAAACAGAGGCCAGGGGTCCAGAAAGGACCACCCTTGAAGTTAATTTTTGGAGCAGGGAATGTACTCTACTCTAGATGTCTGCAAGAGGGAGATGCAACTTAAGCGAGAGAGGATGTGAGGGGATGGCTTGTCCCCCGCGAGTGCATGTGTCTGCATGTGTCTCCCCATGTGACACGGGAGTGCATGCAAACACATCCATGTGGCCAGGGTGCATAGGTGTGCATCAGGAGTGCTCGTGCTGTGGGCTTCTGTGTCAGCAAATACGCATTAGGGAAGCTGTGTATGTACACACGTGTGTTTGTGTCCACGTAAAGAGAACAGACGCATCTGTGTGGTATGGGTTTGCATGGAATGTAAGAGTACTGGGGAAACACGTCTTTAAAACCCATTGTGAAAACCAGTCCATTATGAAGGTGTGTGCTTCATTTTGGAAAAGGGATCTAGTTTATTTTTATTCTTAGCACCTTCTTCACCTCTCAGGTAATAAATCGCTCTTATTTTGCCTATCACCATAGGTCCTGCCCCCAGGAATGCTATGCTGTCTAGAACAGTCTATCTGGTTTGACCATGAGAAAAGCCCTTGATTTGAACAGAGCAAGGTCAGGTTTGGATAAGGAAAATTATTTTCAACCCCAAAAGGACAAGCTCAGAGCAAGTTGGGGAGCATGTGGTAGCAGAACTTGGAACTAAAGCCCAGGTGCCCCAGGGCAGGACTGGGCACACATGGTGCTGCAGGAATACCTGGTAGCAAATCTCCGTGGGCCTGGTGGGAGGAGGGCAAGGAGGAGGAGAAGGGTCTCAGCAGCTTCTGGTCCTGAGAAATCTGTGTCTGCTCCTGCCAGTGACTCATGGGGCCTCACCTTCCCTACCATGAATGAGACCTGCTGGAACTGACTGCCTTATCCCCACCAGAGTGAAAACTAATGAGGTCATGTATCTCCCCGGACTTTGAGCTCCTTTGGGAAAGTTGCTGTAAAATCATAGGGTGTTGTTACCACGGGGGACACCAAAAGGTCACTGGACCAGGGAGATGAGTACTGCAGCCTACAAGGCCTTACAGTGCCTGACTGCTTTCAGATTCTGTTTCTACCTTGAGCCTCTGATGCCTTGAGCAAGTCAGAAGGGCTAGAGGTCCTGCTTTGGGGCCTGGGCCAGGCCAAGCAGGGGAGAGATTCAGTGGAGTTGCTGTCCTGTCCATCTGTCTTTACACAGGGGGCCCCGTGTCCTTGGGGGCGCTGAGGTTTGGAGGTCCTGTTCCCTCTGATGGCAGTCAGCACTGTCGGTATTATGGAAACCTCCCAGCAAGGCAGCTGTGGGACCCCAAGGAAACACCTTTCTTCAACCAATGCTGAGCCCATGAAAAGAAGGGAACTAGTGGTAATGAGCTCCTGGTCTGTGCCAAAAATCTCTTAGACCTTCATGCTCCTTATCTCATTTGATCTAGGCAGCATTGTAAGGGTGGAAATTACGACCTCTGTCCCAGATGTATAAGCTGTGGCCTGGAGTGGGAATAGCTGCCCATAGGCCGCAGTCCAGAGAGGCAGCAAGAGCATCCAGAGCCAGACTCTGAGTCTAGGGCACGCATTCTCCTCTGTGCCCTCTGCCTTGATGAGTCTTCTCCCCGCAGATCCACAGTCCCTGTTCTAACTCCCTTCGCTTCTTCTTCCCCTCCAGCCTTCTCTTCTGTGGCCTATTTGCCATTCCAACCAAATTCACCCCTTCCTTCGCTATCACCTACCAGCCTGAGGGGGTCCCAGAAACAGGGGAACCAACAACATATGTCAATTTTGCAAGCATCACCAATGTCAAAGAAGCCTTTCATCCCTCTCCACTGTGTCCCCTACTGCCTGCGGAGCCTGACTTCTGAAATGTTTCAACATCTTCACTGCAGAAAAGTGTCTTTCTGTTTTTTTTTTCTTAAATCCCCACATTTTCCATCGTCATAATGAAGGAGACAGTGACTTAGTTCATTCACTGACACTTACCTACTGGGCACATAAGGGCAAGAAGGGGAGATTCTTGTCCTCAAGAATCCTGGAGGCTACGGGAGGAAGCAGATGGTTAAAATATGACTAACTCGGTGCTAACTGTAGGCCAAGCACTGTTCTAAATGCTGTGTGGGTCCCACACTGGTTCATGTCACTGCAGCCCTCATGGGCAAGTGCAGTCACTACCCTCACCACGGCGCACCTACTCACTCTGCTCTCTGCCTTCTGGGAGACATGCCATCCAGCATTGTGTGGTGGCACAATATGGGGACACCAGAGCACAGAGAGGGGGACATTGGTTTGGCTGCAGGGACTGGGAGGAGTTTAGAGAGAGTGGCCAGGAGCTGGGGCTTGAAGCCTGAGACATGGGAAAGCCTCTCCAGGGAAGGGGGAGGGCTGGTGTCAGGGGTGGTTCTGAGGTCCTGGCACCTGGGGCCAGGCACACCAGACATGCAGCAGCACCTACATCAGTAAGAGCACAAGAGCAAGGTCGGCAGAACATTGTCTGCCTGCCTGAAGGATTTCGGTCTTTCTTGTCAGGATTGAGATGTTTGATGAGTACAGTGGATTCGTGTTATTTGAGGCAGTTATGTTCTATAAAGGCACCGAAAACACTGAATTAGCCAATGCTGAACCATGGCTTCTAGAGGAAACACAGGTTTAGGTTCCTGCGAGCCTCTGGCCATGATGTGTTAGTCAGCCTATCAATGCAGAATCTTGTATTGTGTGTGTTGTGTGTTTCTGTTGGAAGACACCTTATTTAATATATGTTACTGATTCATTCACATTGAACTCATTGCCAACAGCACTGGAACTCATGTCCACACGAAGCTTACCTAACACATGTTTTCTCCGTAAGGCACATCACAGTCTTGCACAGAGGAAAATGAGACAGCATTTCAGCCCTTTCCTTGGGGGCCATTTTTAAGCAGTGAAATCACCAACAAAAAGTGTAAAAATGTGGAAAATGTAACAGTAAATAAACTGCAAAAGGGACACTTGTTTATAGCATGAGAGCTGAAACAAGAAGGCAGATCAGGGCCAGGCATGGTGGCTTGCACCTGTAATCCCAGCACTTTGGGAGGGTGAGGTGGGAGGATCACTTGAGCCCTGGAGTTTGAGACCAGCCTAGGGAACATAGTGAGACCCCCATCTCTATTAAAAATAAAAAAACAAAAACTTGAAAAATGAAAGAAGGCACAGTAGGGCCTCTTTTGACCTCAGCTTTGAATGAGTGACCCAACTGCTTCACTGCTCTTCTCGTGTCCACAAATAGCAGGGAAAGAGCTGCAGGTATTAATGTTGTGGTTACAGATGCATTTTACCAAGGACATGAATTTGCAGTGATGGAATCTGCAAATTGATATTGGTAATGGGAGGGAAGCCTGAAATACTCTGCCCTTGGAGCCCTTCCTATTCTCCTACAGAAGCCCCCTTAATCAGTGGATGGGACTTACCTGCTGGCGTCCCTCCATATGGGCGTCGCTACGCTGTCTTTAGATCTTTGTGGAGCCGTGGGAGGCAGCCTGGGAAGGGATTACACTCACCTAAGGGAATGAGATAATGGAAACTGGAGCTCAGGTGATGTGAGCAGCCCAAGACTGATGCCCAGCGGAGGCGAAGTTGAAAACAGAGGCCACAACTCTAAGTGTGTTGAGCCTCTTTTCAGTTTATCTTCATGTCTCAAATATTGAGCCAAAATGATGCCTTGTGAAGCTCTTTCCACTCCCTTTCCACTCCCAAAGAGGGATTCCATAAAATTAACTGGCATGAAAAGAAGGGGGTACAGATATGTGTCCCAGATTTTGCAGAGCTGTTGCAGTATGCTCCTTACACAAATGGGCATGAGCATGAGCAGCTCCATTAATGTTCTTGGAGACAGAAGTTATTTACATCCTATAAATATCCATCCCAACAGCAGAGCTGGGGCTACCACTAACATGTTGCTGCTGTTTTAAATAAACTTTGGATCCCTAGACTTTCATGACTGCTAAATTTAACCGTCTCAACATGTCTTTGTGGAGTCACTTCTTAATGTTCTTGAGGTTTTGGAAATAGTTCAAAGAATCCTTGACCTCAGCTTCTCATGCTTAAGTGCATGAGAATAAGTTCTACTTTGGCTAGCTCATCTTGCTCTGTAGATAGCCACCAATGCATGGGTGGAGATGTGGAGGTGGAGAAACTGGGTGGGTTTGGAATCGCCTCACTGTGGGATTCTGGGCCACCTTGAGCACCTTCATCACAAAGTGCTGGCCGAGGATCTGGGAGGCTGCCTGCAGGTGTGGCTCCCCCAGCTCCCTGGCTCCGTTTCTTCCTCTGCAACATGGGAGTAGAAACAACACCCCGACTTCCTCTCAGCATTGCTGTGAAGGTTGCATAATTGGACAAGGTGTGTGAAAGCACCCTGGGAGTTTCAAGGTGCCATACAGTTTGTTTTGTTTGTTTAACAGAAGTCTTAGTCACAGGGTCTAACAAAGCTAAGGTTATCTTTTTTTTTTTTTTTTTTTTTTTTTTGCAAAAACAAAAATACTCTAGCATCCTAGCTTAGCAAAGGCAGGTTTTATTGTTTAACAAGTAGAACTCTCTACCCTAAAATGTGGCCTTGTGTATCAAGGGTTGTTATCTGCAATTTATTTTTAAATTATGGTAAATGTGATCCTGATGCATAGATATGTAATATATGTGGCTTTATATATAAACACACACACTCACACTTTATATATATATGAACTCATAGAAGTAGGCTTCTTTTGGCATACTGAGAACTACCAACATGGAATATACATATTCCACTTATTTCTAAATAGTACTTATTCCAATGCCCAGGGAAATTTTTGAACCAAAGTTTCAAATATATAGGCAGCCTCTGTGAACACACATGGAGTTTTAATACAAATGTTCCTAAACATACATGGCTTTGAGTGCTCCAAAGAAAAGGCCCATTGTCTCAACTTGGGGCGAGCAGGGAACCCAAAAGCAGGAAGGTCTTGCCCTAGCTTTCCCAGGGACTCGAACTCTGACCTTATGGAAGGTACTTAATTTCTCTGCCTCAAATTCCTCCTCTTCAGCTTGTCCCATTCACAGAGGTGTCCATTCATACAGAGGCTTTCAGCCTCTCCCAGGAGGGAGGCCATGCAGTCATGCCAAGTTTTTGTCTTCTTCTTGTCTTGAACTCTTTAACTGAAATACAGGCATAGACAATCCGTGTCCGCCCTTTAAAGATGCCTGTTATCTGCAGACCTTCAGGGCAGAGAAGCTGGAAGTTGGAAGGACATGCATCAGCCAGGAGAAAACACCCTCTGCCTGGCCTGTTTTCAATAACAGGAGGAGGAGGCTTGGTGCCGAAATGGAGGAATTTCCTCAAACGCCCTCTGCTCCAGAATGATCCCTTTTACAAACCTGGCTAAGAAAACATGGGCAGAGGACTCTGGGAGCTTCATGCCCTTCTGGCCCTCACCATTTATCCAATTTACACTGATCAGACCCACATTGGCAAATGAAAGCCCCCTCTTTCCTTCTGTTTGTATGAGTTACTCACGGGGGCAATTTGAACGGATTGGATTTCCCCTTGGAAATGCTGGTATTTCCATGATTTGAAAAGTCTGGCTCAATTAGAATAATCTTCAGGCACTTCCTCTCCTTTTATTCAGGTAAATCATGGATAATTTAAAAGCAAAAGAACCTTTTGGACCATTGGGGCTGCCTCTTTCATCTGCTCGCCCTCATAATTGCCCTTCCATTGTGAGACCTCCGTGGTGAGTTCAGGAGACTGATTAAGAGGTGCAGGGTTGGGCCGTGCAGAAGGGAGGGTCGGGGGCCACCGCACAGGGCCTCGCCTTCAAAGACACTTCCTCTGCAGCAGGTATGTTAAATACCAAACCTGAGTCGGGTTACGTTCTCAATTGATGCCATATGATCCCAAGTGCTCAGACAAAGGCAGGCCATGATTAGAAAGTTCAAGACTAGGAATGCTTCTGGGGGCAGGGGTAATCGAGTGCCTGGAGATGGGGAGGGAGACGGTAAGGCGAGCTGACAGGGGATGCCGGCACCCCCAAAACATGTTTGGAACTAGAGAAATTGTTCTTTTACCTCAGCTGCCCACGCTTCAATCTGGCACGCGATGAAAGCTCCCTTTGCTTCGCTTTCCGCAGAATGCTGTGGGATTGGGTGAATCACACAGAGAAGCTGTTTTGACTTCCAGCTCTAATGAGGCATGTTTGCATATTCTTTTCCCCATCCACCTTGGAGAGGGGAATGCGTTGTTGTGACTGCTACTGAGTGTGTGTTTTGGGGGGTGCGGTCGTTAGGGGAGGTGGGGATCCAGATGTTCACAGCTGGGAGAGTGCTCCCAGCACCTCGGCTAGCCTGCTCATCTTATGGGTGGAGAAACTGAGGCCCAGAGTCTCTCGGTCTGTGATATCTGGCCAGTGCTGGAACTCAGGGTTTCCACTAGCCTTCCTTCAGCACCCCAGCTGCACTGGAGGCAGAAGCAGAGGTGGAGGCCAGCTGTCTTCAAGCCTCAGACTTATTGGTTTGCACTCCCTTTGCCCCTGGCCTGCCCAGCCTGGCCAGCCTCAGAGTCAGCCCACAGCAACACCTGGAGACAGAATCTGAGACTCCCTTCAGAGTGGAGGTGAGGTGGAGGGGGTCCTGAGGACCCCCAGGAGGAGCCAGGCAGGGACAGGCAAGGGTCAGTGAAATAGACAGGCTATGTGTTCTGGATGCATTGACACATGACAGCCCGGCCACTGAGGGAGCAGGGGCTGTGTCAGGATTCCAGGGCTCCAGTTCCAGCTCCCCTGGGCACTTGCTGAGATGCCACTTTGGAGAGGTCTATTTCCCATGTTGAGTCTCAGTTTTTTCCATTACGTTGTGGGCGTGGAGGTAATTATCTCCAAGGAGCTGCAAGTCCTCAAATTCAGTTACTTGTAGGGTGTATGCCATTGACCTACAGCAAGAGCTGTCTATGGAGACTCCTCATAAAAAGGCTGCACCCCCCAGCGAGCCCTACCCATGTGACGTGCTGCGCAGACATACAGAGACATGGACACCAGGAGTGCGCAGGGAATGACAGGCAGAGAGCAGAGCCATGCCAGCCTGGTTCAGACCCAGGAGTCCCCAAGGGCAGAACTCTCAGCAGTGGGAATGGCGGGGGAGCTCTTGAGGTGGATGAGCACACGGCCAGAGAATGGTACCAATGGAAAATGGAATTCTATAAAAACAAATCCAATAAGTATTTATTGGCCAAACTGCCCGAGCTCTTGCAAAGCAGCAATTCCTGCTCATAAAGTATAAAAATGCATGCTTTCCAACCCTCTTGCCTCATCTAGGAAAATGCTACGAACCAGGGGTGATGAGTTTCTCAGAGCCTCTCACTTTCTCTTGACTTGATTCCTGTAGCTGCGTCACTAGTTACATTGTTTTGTGGTTTCTTATTTACACATCAGCCTCTGCCACAGACCCAAAGCAGCTAGAGAGCAGGGACCAGTCTGGTCCTGGAGCCGCTCCCATCTCCTGCGGGTCTGGCACAGACTAAGTAGTATCTTATACAGTGTTTATTTAACTGAATCAAATTTTGCTTCACAGGTAGGTCCAAGGGTGTCCCATTTCACAGCACTAGAGCCTGTGAGCTTCAAACCCAAGCGTCATGAGTTATTTCCTGTGGGATTGTGGACCTGTTTCTTCAGGGCTCTGCCTCCCATAATAAAGTATTCATAATAACAGCTGACCTTCCCTGGGCACTTTCTAATTGCTGGGTACTGTCCTAAGCACGTTAGAAACATCACATTGTAATTGTCACCACATTTCTATGAGTAGCTATTATTACTATCCCCACTGTATGAATAAAGAAACTGAGGCACAGAGAGGCTAAGTGACGGGTCCAAGGCCACATAGCTAGTGGCAGAGCCAGGATTCAGACCCACACAGGCAGTCAGGTGTCAGAGCATGTGCTTGTTGCCTCTGTCTGCACTCGGAGCCCCCAGCTGGGGCCTGGCACATGGCAGGAGCTGAAAAATGAATGCTGATTCCTGACTCTTCATTTATTTCCATGGGCCATGAGGGTATAGTCACTAGTGGAGAAATGTCAGCCTCTTGTGGAGAACCTGTGGAGAGGGCCTCCAGATAGCCTGTTGGGGAGGAGATTGCCATTTCCCCATCATTCCGGAGTCAGGGCACTGGAAAAGTCCATGACATCCCTTTAACACAAACACCTGCCAAGGCTCTTGCTGTCTCCAAGCAGGAATATTCAGAGCCCTGGGCCTCCAGAGACAATTCTCAGGGTCAGCCCCATTTCTGCATGCCCCTAATTAAGTTAGAAGAGAATCCAGGCCCCTGGGTGCTCCTTTCTCCAGGAAGCACTTGAAAAATGCAGGGAGGTAAAGAAGTTCAAGGTTTGGGTATCTGCTGCCCTTGGTTCTGCTCAGGAATTCTTTAGCTGATTACACGGCTCTCATTTCAACAACACCAGCTTTGTGTGCTGAGCTATGGGAAGACTCCTCTCCGTCACTGCCTGCCGCCACGGAGGGTCACCCTGCCGGGAAAACGCATCTGGAGAAAAGTGTTTCCACCAGATTTTAAAATACTCCAGGGGAAACATTTTCTTGAGGAGTTCTTTTCTTTCTTCTTTTCCCTTTTACCCTTTTGCTTACAGGCTAATAATGATGGTAGGGCCCCTGCATTCTTAGAAATCCCTAGAATGAAACTGGGTTGAAAGCCATTGATTGGGAAAGAACGTGGCGTGCCTCCTGTCTGGGCCCTCAGCGCTGGTGGCATCCTACTTATGCTCACTGCGGAGGACATGGGCCTCCTGGAGCCACAGGGTGCTGTGGTTGGAGGCCCCCGGGCCACCGCCGGCACCTTCTTTCATTCTGCGAAGCTCCACCCTGGGCTGGGCAGAGGCTACTTGCATTCCTCCAAGCCCTTCCTTCTGGGCAGATATTTCTCAAGCACTTAACACTTTTGAGAAGTATATTTAGTCACAAAGACCGCCCAAAGCCAATCTGCCCAAATAGTTCTCATTTCTCTGATTATCCTCTGCCCTTTACTCTCTGAAGATTCCTGTACTAACATGGTGGGGGATCCTGAGATAAATATGTGGCCTCATCCTTGTGATACATAGTCTGATTGGGGAATCCAAGTTTCAAAAGAAAAGACACATTCACTTCCATATGCTAGGCCTGAGATGAGGTCCATGTAGGGCGGGTCCAGAGATGAATAATGATGTCAGACATTTCTCCAGCATGGACTTGCACATCAGCCACCATGTGTGACTTGCTTTACCTTATGTGGTCCTCACAAGAGCCCTATGAAAGCTACTTTTAAATGAGTGGGGAAACAGGCTGAGAGAGGTAATTGGCTCCTGGTCACAGATTGCTAAGTGGTCACACTGGAATGCAAAACCAGGCCCTCTTGGCTTTCTGGCTTGTGCCAACCACACACCAACACTACCAATTCCCCGCTCCCTGCCTCCACCCCAGGGTGCTCACCATCCCCTGGAGCAGGGCCCATGTGCCAGGCCACAGCAGTACAAGATAAAGTGAGGTTGTGGGGTCAACATGCAAATTAGGTGCAGGTGACCAACACTGCCATGGCTCAGATGTGAGAGGCATCACTGTGGCATAGGAGGGGAATGTGTCAGTGAAGGAGTTGAAATTTCTCTGTTCCTCATGGAGTGTGTCTCTTCTTGTATCTTCATAGCCAAATTCTCTGTGAAGCCAAATCCTTCAAGGCCCATGATGCCCCTTCCAGGAAGCCTTCCCACGCTGCTCTGGTCTTCAGGGATCTCTCCCTCCCCTGGGTATCTGTAGCAGGTAGAGTCAGGGCTGAACCTGATCCAGGCTACAACAGTGCACTTTCAGCCACAGGGGTCTTGCCTTCCCAGCTAGATTGCAAATTCCTCATCAGCAGGTGGAGACCGGGGCTCTCCACCTTTCCTTCTCTGAGGTGCAGAAGCCTGTGTCAGGTACAGTTTTATAGGGCAAAAAGAGCAATGGGCCTGGGGTGGAACTCTTGTGAACAAGGTGACATACTGGGACGTGTTGGCCATAATGTGACACAAGGGGAACCTCTAGCATAGGCAGAGAGAAGGAAGAGGCTAGTGTCCTGGGAACCAAAGAAATGGTTTCAAGGTGGTGCTATGACAGTAGGATCAAATGCAAGGGCCAGACTGGGGAAGATAAGGAGACCTGTTGGAAAGGATTGTCTTGGCTAATGGGTGAGAGCTGTTCCAGGAGAGTGGTGAGGGCAAATGAATGTCAGGCAATGACATAGAGCCATGAATTATATTTTATTTTTATAGAGTTTGCTTGAAAAGGACAAGAGAAATCTGGATAGTCACTAAAGGAGGATGTGTCCTTCAATACTTACAAGCTCTACGACCATTTACTTAACATCTTCACACTTTATTGTCTTTGTAAAGTAGGGATTGCATCTTCCTCTTATAGAGTGGGTCTGAGGAGTCAAAGAAATCAAGCATGTAAAGCACTTAGCTCAGTGTCAAAGGCAGGGTACAGTTAGTAAAAGTTAATAATGACTGCTTTTTAGCATAGGAGGAACTTCAGCCTATATGTGTGAGAAATAAGAATAAAATTCTACCCCCCTCAAACTGACGGAATGGACCCCTTCTTGACCAAGGGAAGGGACCCCAGAGAAATTTTAAAAACTGAGTTCCCGGCCACGACAGGAAAAGAGGTTGAACCTGCCTCATTATGCTCCCTCCCTGGCTAATCACCATTAGGTGTTCTTCCCTAAGGGAGGAAAATAAATCAAATCTTTGGAAAGACTCTACCCCTGATAGCAATTGACTTCCTGATGCTGCCCCTCCCTTTCAGCACAACACCCAGCATCCCTTCCTGATAAGAGACCACCGACCATGACCATGAAGTGGGTCTGGCCAGTCTATGGAGGATGTGCAAAGAGGATTTTGTGTCCTCTGCTTCACTTTTTGACATCAGAGGGCTGAAAACTCTATCCTCAGATCATGCTGGCGCCACCATTTTTTGAACATGGGCCCAAGGGAGAGGCATGAGGCTCAATTGTGCATGAGTGTGTTTCTCCTCTCATAAATACTCATGACTCCTCCCATAGCTTATTGAATATGTATATATATTTGACCACTGTACTCAGCATAAATCCCTTTTTTATTCTTCCTACCCTTGAATTGTTTCTGGTTTCTGGCCGGAGGCTACATTTCCCAGCCTGTCAGAATGGCCACACTACAGGCTGCAATTGTTTGTGAGAAATAAAGCTCTCCTTTCCAAATTCCTGAACCTCATCATTCTTCAGTTGACATGTAAGTTGATGGAAACAGGGGAGAGGGAAGTGAAAAACATAGAACATGGAGATAACTGATGGAGTGAAGGCTTGAGGAAGGGATGGGGTTGAGGACACAGGGGAGAGGATGGTTCTGAGTCTTGAGATGAGAAAAAGTGAGAAAGGTCAAAGCTGTATCACTGATTCTCATTATTTGCAGCAGTTTTGTTCTACATTCACCTTGAAGAACACTGACTTAGTAAATACTGCAATCATTGCTCCTAGGAGAAACACAGGATAAGGTTCCCATGAGCCTCTGTCACAGCATTTTTGTTAATCAATTAATACGTAATCTTATTTTATGTGTGCTGCTGTTTAAAGATGCCGTATTTAATATATATTGTTGATTTGCTAACATCAAACTCAGGGCCAACAGCACTATGACTCATGCCTGACTGAACTTACCTAACACATGCATTTTCTCCATAAGGCACATGGCAGCCCCCTTGTGCTTAGAAATAGTAGATGACACTTCAGCATTGTATTTGGAGGCCATTCTAAACAGTGAAATCTCCAAAAAAGAGCACAAAAAATGTAAAAAACATGATACTAAATGACCCACAAAATCGACACGTGTTTATAGTGTTAGGTGGGTGTAAATGTAATTGCAGTTTTTGCATTACTGAAATTTGCCATTTGTTATTGGAATACATTCTTAAATAAATGTGGTTATGTTATACATCATTTTAATGTGCAATTCTTTCTTTTTTTTTGCTAATGACTTATTACTTGCTGTATATTTTGTATTTATTTTAGACTATGGAAATGGTGTTAGACAAAGAGCAAATTTGAGTCATTTTCTTATTTGAGTTCAAAATGGGTTGTAAAACAGTGGTGACAACTTGCAACATCAATAATGCATTTGGTCCAGGAACTGCTAATGAATGTACAGTGTGGTGATGGTTCAAGAAGTTTTGCAAAAGATATGAGAGCCTTGAAGATGAGGAGTGTAGTGGCTGACCATTGGAAGTTGACAACAACCAATTGAAAGCAATCATCAATGCTGATCCTCTCACAACTATGTGAGAAGTTGCCGAAGAACTCAACATCAACTATTCTATGATCATTTGACATTTGAAGCAAATTGAAATGGAGAAAAAGCTTGATAAGTGGGTGCCTCATATGCAGAGCAAAAATGAAAAACATCCTCATTTTGAAGTGTCATCTTCTCTTATTCTATGCAACAGTGAACCATTTCTCAATCAGATTGTGACATGCAACAAAAAGTGGACTTTATACAACAATCGTTGACGACGAGCTCAGTGGCTGGACAGAGAAGAAGCTCCGAAACACTTCCCAAAGGCAAATTTGCACCAAAAAAAGTCATCATCACTGTTTGGTGGTCTGCTGCCAGTCTGATCCACTATAGCTTTCTGAATCCTGGTGAAACCATTACATCTGAGAAGTATGCTAAGCAAATTGATGAGATACACTGAAAACTGCAATGCCTACAGCCAGCATTGGTCAACCAAAAGGGCCCAATTCTTCCCCATGACAACACCTGACCACACGTCTCTCAACCAATGCTTCGAAAGTTGAATGAATTGGGGTACAAAGTTTTGCCTCATCTGCCATATTTACCCGACCTCTAGCCAATTGACTACCCCTTCTTCAAGCATCTTGACAACTTTTTGCAGGGAAAACACTTCCACAACCAGCAGGATGCAGAAAATGCTTTCCAAGTGTTTGTTGAATCCCGAAGCATAGATTTTTATGCTACAGGAATAAACAAACTTATTTCTCATTGGCAAAAATGTGCTGATTGTCATGGTTCCTATTTTGATTAATAAAGATGTGTTTGAGCCTAGTTATAATGATTTAAAACTCACAGTCTGAAACTGCAATTACTTTTGCATCAACCTGAGCCACGTGAGAAGGCAGAGTACCACGTCACTCCACCTGGCAGGGGCGGTGGACATGAGTGTTGGAGACTCAAATTCTTTTTACCACTTTGTGTGTGTCCAGGGATGACTGCAAAAGCACTGTGAGTATTTATTTGGAGGGGTTACAAATAAATCTTACTGAGTAGGTGAATTTACAAATACAAAATTTGTGAATCATGAGAATCAACTGTGTTTAAGTTTATCATGAAGGGAATGAAAATTGAGAGACCTTGTGGGTGCTGGAGAGGCTAAATTTTCTCTTTGAAATAAAAGTCAAGGTCTTCCGAGAAGATGCAGAAAGGGTGGAGGAGGCCTGGGGAAAGCAATACAGTTGGAAAGTTGCTGAGAAGAATAGGAGAGGGGGCCAGGAAGCAGAGAACAGGATTGGCAGGCACAGCTGAAGGACCAGCTGAGGGGGAGGCCTGCCTAGTTCAACTCTTTCCTCCAGAGCCGCCTTCTGGCAAGGCTCCATGAAACTGATTACCTGGGGAAATTCACCAAAAGTTGCAGTCTGATTTCCACTTAAAGATGCAGAAGCTTCTTTTTTTCCCCTTTCCTTCCTTGAAATCCAGAAGAGAGAATGAAAAACAGAAAAATTAACAAATAAAACTTTATTTTCACTAAGACCAAAAAAAAAAAAAAAAAAAAACCCAGCTATAACCGCAAACCACAAGCTATGAAGTGTGCTAGCCAAATACTGTGAAATCTGCACCAAAATGAGGTACAAATCTGACATGCTCACATTTCTTTTCAGACCATGAGAATAGAACACATTTTTCTAGAAGTAACAATCAGGGCCTTAAGAGTCTTATCCAGTGGTTCTCTGATGACAGCCACATGGCCTAAGACAGTGGGCAGACCTCTAGAGCAAGGAACATATCCCTCTAGAAACTTCAGGGCAAGTGAGTCTGAAGAAGACACTATAGAGACACAGCAAATCCGTTCTCTCTTACCAGTCTCCTAGATGAGGCAGATGCCGGAGGCCAAGGAGCTAAAGTTGCACGCATTCCTATGTCAACACCTTGCTAATTCAAAGTGTGCTTTGAGGACCCACAGCATTAGTCCTGCCTGGGAGCTTGTTAGAAATGCAGAACTTCAGAGCACACCTCAGACCCGATGAATCAGAACCCACATCTTAGCAAGGTCTCCAGGGGACTAGTATGCATTTTATACCTTGAGAAGGACTATCCTAAAAGGCATTTAGGTGAGCTGAACCAACCTCCTAAGCACCAAAGTCGTGGGCAGAGACTCTCCAAAAGTAAAGGAAGTCATAGATTTCGTGAACAGATGGAGAGGTAGCAAATCTAATGCAAAACTGCATATTGATTTAGTTCACTTCCATTGCGCTCTCACAAACTCTTAGTCAGTATTTGGCCATATTTAAAGATAAAGGACGTGAAGAAAGAGCCCAACATACAACCCTTGCATAAATACTGCAAAGAGAAAAGAGGATAGGGGTACCAGAAAACGCACATGGAGAACACATTATGATCTAAGGAAACAAAGTTCAAACAACTCCCTAAAGTTACCAAAACATTATACACAATATTCATTTTATTATTTTTTTTAAAGCTCAAAGAAGAAACTTGAGAGTTGAAAGACTAGATTAAAGTCAACACAAGGAGATTAAAAACAAGCTGGCAGAACTCAAGAAAGAAACAGAGAAAAGGTAAAGCTATTACAGAGATACAAGTACACTAGCAATAAAACAAAGAATGGAACAAAAAGAGCAGCAAAGCCGGGCAGTCCTTCACAAATGAGAGAACTGGCATATTTGTGAACTGCTTGAATGACTCCACAGACTGTGTATTCAAGGATGTCATTCACAAAGATCTAATTCCTCACTGGAAGCTTGAGCTCAGACCCAAATGAGCTAGTTCCCAGGTTAGTCACTGAAGGTACTGGAATAATCCATAAACAGATAGACAAATTAAATGTTTGCAGGGGCACTCATTATGTACCAGACACTTTTCTTATTTGATCTTTAAAACACAAGGTACATGCTTTTAATAAATTAGTGACTTTAAAAAATCATAAAACAATTCATGGTAAGAGAAAAAGTTGTAATGCAGAGAAAGTAAAATTCAGGAAATTTAAACAACCATATCCCATCACCCAGCAATAACTACTTTAAAAATCCTTATTATTATTTCCAAAATGTTATGAAAATATAGATTAATATTTCTCCCCAAATGCAATTATATTCTATATCCTTTTTTAACCTTATTTTGCTAACAATATATTATGGCCACCTTTTCTTCTGTCATTAAATATTCTATCTCATTTTAATGCTATAGAGTATTTTATTACATTGAAGTGCCATGATTTACTTGGTTTACTTGGTCTACCACAGTTTACTAAGTACTTGGTAAATATTTGTTGAATGACTTACTTGAATGAATGCTGAATAGTTAGGTTGTGTTTCTAAATATTTGCTATTACAAACAGCACTGCAGCAAACATCCTTTTAGCTAAATCATTAACACATCCGTAATTATTTCCTTAAGATCAATCCTCAAGAGTGGAACTGTTTGGTTAAAGAGTATGAGCATCTCTAGAACTTTCAAATAGTTCCCAATAAGGTTATGCCAATTTACACTTCCACCTACAGTACAGGATAATATACATTTTCTTCCACCCCAGCCTAACCTTGGTATTTAAAACATTTTTTTTTTAATTTGATAGGCCAAATATGGACTCTTACTTTGGTATAATTTATAATATTTTGATACTTAGCGAGGTTGAACTTTTCTCACATGCTTATTGGTCATTTATATATCTTTTATGAATGTGTTTTTATGTCTGTTGCTCATTGAAAATTTTTTTTTGCTTATTGTTTTTATTATTGACTTACAAGTGATCTCTATATTAAAAATATGAATCCATTATGTACATATAAAGTTGCCAAACATTTTTCTAATTTGGCATTTTCTTTTAATTTCTTTACATTTTTTGAAGACTGCACAGTCACCTTCATCTTCCATTTATGTTTCAATGCTTTGATTTTGTGATTACAAAGGCCTTGTCCACCTCTAAAGTTACAGAGCTATTCACTCATGGGGGTACTGTCCCTGTTATGCAGGTAAATAAAATAAAGTTCATAGAGTCTAAAGTCAGACAGCTCATGACTTTTAAGTTTGACTTCAAAACCTTTTGCTTTTCCTGCTAAATCAGGCTGCCTCCTTTATCCAACAATATTTTGAATTACCCAGTTAGTTCTATTGAGCAGTTGGTTTATATAACTGTGGAAGCTGAGAGGTCATACTGCCAGGGGTAGATTCCCGATGAGAGTGACTAACAGCTAATCCTAGAAAGTCACACCTAATCTCCTCTGTTCATCTCTGCCATGTCAGCACCTCCCCTGTGTTGACCCTGAGTGCTCATAACTCAGTACACTTTCCTGCAAAGGTGTCCTTGGAGGAACATGGCTGGCTCTGGATGAGAGTGAGAAATTTCACCTGCTGGTAAATTACCCTGATAACACGGAGCCTGCAGAGTGGAAGGACAGCTGCGGCCTTGACCTTCACATGCTCTGTGTAATTCCCACCAGTGCGCCTACTGCCCTTGCAGCTCTCATGCCAACCCACCATGCCAAGCTCTGGGCTTTGGACAGGAGGAGTCACTAGAGCTAGGGAATCATTTTCTTCATGCCTTGTTGGACTTGGCTACCTCAAAAGGACATCGAATGGGCGGGCGAGAAAGTGGGGCTGTGCCAGGGGCTTTTTGAAAAAAAATACTTAAAGTCTTTGGTCTTTGTGTTCTCTCTAATGGCTTTCCAATCATCCATACAAATAATTCTTGTGTGACCCCATGGTCTGGAAATGACATCATAAGCTAGCGACATGTGCAACCTTAGAGTGAAAATTTTTTCTTCCTCTTTTTTTAATAAACTTCTCTTTGAAAAAAAAAATCCATGATGTCTGTCGTGCCTTCAATAAGCACTAAAATAAATCATAATAGTCTTTCTTTTGTTGTGGCTCATTTTCACTATTTACTTTAAAAACTAAAGGGAGGGACTATAGAGTAACTAATTAATAGTCTATCTGAAAGCCGTGTTTCTTGCAACAGAAAATGTGACTTGTTTTTTGTTGTTTTTTTCCCCTTAAAAATAAATCACTATGGCACCTTCAATAGAGGTTACAAGAATGAAGTCTGCTTTTTATGCCTGATAAAAGTATAATGTTTTAATATTTATTCAACCTCCTGACTTTTGGAAGAGGGGTGTTTAACAAAGATTCACCATGCAATTCCAGAGTTAATTACCAGCAATTGTGGAGATTTTCTTCCAGTCATAAACCACAGGAAGCTCCCCTATCTAGGCATCTTGGGCCTTGGTTATATGGGGAGAGGAACAAACAGGGCCTAAACTAGGGGAGTTGATGGATCCTGTGGGTTTGACTAGCAGTAATATAATACATCTTTTACTATCTGTGTCACCTAGCGCCCACCAATCAAGAGACTTGGGAGGCCCAGGGCAACATCATTTATTGCCATTCAGTACTGAGGCATTTCAATGTTAATAACTGGTGCTGTCAGACTGGGGCATCTTGGCTGCCCTTGGCCTCTCCCACCATGGTACCCTCAGCTTGCTCATCAGGGCTACAGATGCTATTTAGTGTGATCAGGTTCGGGCTGCCATTCATGCTCATGGGCTACTGGTTAGGAGATGCAGCAGCACGAATTTGTTTTTTGACACCTCCCAGCCACTGCCACCTTTTAAAAAAATTTTTGAGCCAGTCAAGGTGGCTCATGCCTGTAATCTGAGCACTTTTGGAGGCCGAGGCAAGTGGATCACCTGAGATCAGGAGTTCAAGACCAGCCTGGCCAAAAGAATGAAACCTTGTCCCTACTAAAAGTACAAAAATTAACCGGATGCAGTGGCATGTGCCTGTAGTCCCAGCTACTCAGGAGGCTGAGGCAGGAGGATTGCTTGAACCCTGGAGGCTGAGGTTGCAGTGAGCTGAGATCATGTGACTGCACTCCAGCCTGGGTGACGGAGCAAGACTCTGTGTCCAAAAAAAAAAAAGAAAGAAAAATTGTAGTTGCCCAATAAATGTGACTTAAAATAGAGTCAAAGAGAAGGAACAAATAGAATAGAATAAAATGCAAGCGGCTCTGCTTTTCCCCTGTCCTCCTGCCCTGGGTTTGGCATGGGAGTGGAGTTCTGAGGCCTTGGAAGTCCTTCGGGGAGAAGGGGTCCCTCCATTGTTCCATCTGCCTGGAAGAGCATCCAAGCCTGCCAACTGAGAGCTCCAGTGCCTGTGACCCAGTGAGTGGGTCTGGGGCAAGAATAGGCTTCCAATAGCTCCCTCCAAGTTCATGCCTATTCCTAGGATAACTAGGAATCCCAGGAATGTAGTTGGTTCTGAAATTCTAAAAGGCAGGTAAAATAAATATCATGACAACATAGTGAAAGTCTGAGTGCCCTTCCTCTCCAATTGCTGCACCTGGCCTTGGGGAGGAGCAGGGCTCTGAAAAGTGACAAATGGATCCTTATTTCTGTATTTCCCTGTCTATAACACCACGCATTTCAATGTCTTCCAGTTAGTTTCCACTCATTAGGGACATGCATATTGTTTTGTTTTTAAGCTAGTGAGTGTGGAAAGTGACAGAGGTGCCAAGCCTTATGGAAATGCATGAAAAAAACTGTTCAGAATCAAGGTAAAGTTCTGCTGTGATGGAACAAAGAGAAAGAAATCAAAGGATGTGAAATCCCTGGGGATGGTGGCAGGATGAGAGAGGTCTCCGATTGCCTTTTCCTTTGCCCCAGTCATAGAGACCATATTTTTGATATCCAAGCTGCCTCCATGAATAATTCTACTGGCTTTTCAGTTAGAATCTTCTCGACTAGACACTCCCAACTCTGGAGCTGACTTTGTACCAGTATCTGGGCAACCCTGGCATGCCCGTCTCTGAAACCAGTACCTTTGCCAACTATATGTTTGGTTCGGATCTTGCATATGGTGTGCACAGCATGCTTGCGACAGGGTCTGTGAAGACTGAGGCTGGGTACTCCCGTTTGCTCCGGGCAGAATTTGGTTACGAGCAGAGCTGTTTTTTCTCCAAGATGTCTCAATCAGCAGGGCCTCCACAAACTTTTTTTTTTTTCTAACACCGTCCTCTCATTGCTTGTGTTTGAAGGATCAGACATGTGAGTGATCCTTTCATCCCTTCCAGGGAATTTGTGGGGAGCTGAACCAGGACGACAGGATTTGGAACCTGAGAGGGGTTTCTTTTTGTCTGCAATGGCCTATCACCAGTGAAATCCAGTGTGTAGGTTAATAAGGCTTAAACTTTAAAGGAAGGTTGAACATCTGATTGACAAGCTAGTGAATAAGAGTCCAGGGGGAAGTTCTGTGCTTGGAAAGTTCCCCGTTTCCTGAGATGCAGTTGAATTTTAAAGAGGGGTGGTCAGTAGTTAGGCGGAGGCAAACACCTCCGAAAGGTTAACTTGCACCGAAATACCAAATTGCTCTCTAAATCGCAGTTTCCAGTTGGTCGGAAGATTGGCAAATTAATTGCCTAAGTTAATTGCTATTTATTGTTTTTGAATCAAAGAGTGTCTAGAACCCCGTCCTCAAGTCAGAATTATCTGCTGTGAATGCTGAGGCTCTTGCTCCGAGGTGGTCAAAACCAGCCTTATGATGGCGCCAAAATGTGGAGGTTTAATGAGTGTTCTGTTCTCCGCTGGCCAAGTGTGTATCAATTGTGTGTTACCTTGAGAACCGACAAGATCTAAAATAAGATTATTTCTGCCCTCCTCCCTTTTTCTTCCCCCAAGTCCAAAACAATATTTATCTTGCAGCTTGGCGTGTTGCAACTTTTGGTATTTGCTTCACAATTCCCTGAACAGCAAAAAGCATCTGAAGGCGAACCCAGAGACTTTCCGTCCAGGCATCCAGCAATCATGTGCATGAAACCCGGATCCTTGGCTTCCCACGATGGCATCTTTCACAGTGATGTTCACAATCCCCCCTTAGACAGAGGAGAGAGTGCATAGCAACATCAAATAGAGCTAGCTGACCTTTTTGGTTAAAAAATGAAAAAAAAAAAAAATAGAAGAACGGGTTTTAAAAGAAAAAGAACAAATCCCAGTCTAACCCAATCATTTTTTATTTTTCTTGAAAATGTTGGTTTCTGTTCATACATATGCATACCTTTACAAAACTCTAATCATGATAAATGTGACATTTTGTGTGTTGATTTTTATTCTTAGTATTACACTAGGAATACTTTAAGATTGCTTAAAAATTACTATTTTTGATGGCTTCACAATATCCATATATACGGATGGCCAACTTCTGTTTGGGAAATATTTAAAATATTTGCTATTTTCCCAAAGGTAGCTAAATTGTAATAAATTGTATCTTTAATATACACTTTCAGAAAAGAAAAAATGTCATAAAAGACATGACTACCTCTGTGATTTTTGCTACGTGCTATTTCCAAAAGGGTTGAGTCAATTTATAATGTCAATACTAGTATATGTTTACTAGTTTCACCTAATTTTGTCAGCATTGGGGGTTATCAAGTTCTTAAAAATGTTAGTAACTTTTTTTGGTAATGAAATGATATCTCATGGGTAACTTTAATTTGCTTTCTTTGATTATTAGTGAGAAAAACATTTTGTCCTTGTGTTGATCAGTTTTCTATATTTCCTCTTAGGAAAAATATTTGTCTTTACAGATTTTTTTTTTTTAACAAACTAAATTTTTAAAAGAAGTTTGGAGTCGACTGTACACAGGGCAATTGGAATAGCCTTTTCTATCCAAGCCTTTGCTACAGTAGTAGTTGTTTTTGAGTGTGTTCACAGAACAAAGCACAAGTAAACCCATTTCTAGGTACATTCAAGAGATTGATTTGGGGGCCTTGTTTCCAGGGTCCTGGAAGAGCAGATTTGCCAAGTAAGCATTTCAAGGCACATAATATTAATACTTAGAGAAAGCATTTGATTGACATGGGGTTCATCTATGCTCACATAGAAGCATGAGGAGGTTGCACGACCTTTACATGTTACAGATTGGTTTAGATGTTTATCCGTGAGAAGGCTCTGAATCCTACAACTCGAAGAAACTTAGAAGTCTTCTAGTGACCAGAGGTGACCAATAGGTTTCATCTCCCAAGACAACTTTGCTGGATTGAGCAGTTGCCTGGAATTTGGTGTTGAAGAATACTCTGAGGCCAACATCTCAAAGCCAGTGGAAAAGAATAGAGAGGTGAATTGGCCATTATCCCCAGAGGCCTCAGCAGGGGAAGCATACATGCATGCTGGTCATCGCCACCTCTGATCTCTCATTTGTAGGTGAGAGAGTCACGCTCTCATTTTATAGATGAAAAAAGAGGAAAGGGGAATGGCTTGCTTACACATATGCCAGCGTGGAGTGCCAGAGTTATCCCAAGATGCAAATCTCCTGGCTCTTTCCACACTTCCAGTTCCTCCCTGTATCTTCGTGGTTGCTTCCTGACTCTGAGTCTAAAGGAGGGGTGTGCAAGGGGCTGTGGTGAGGTCACATCAAAGACATATTTCAAATCCATGAGCTGCAATCTTGTGACTGCCATTTCTTTGGAGCTGCAGTCAAACCAGGCCAGTGCTCTGGGCTATCTAGTCTTCTCAGAGTCCCTCCTGCCTGAGGACAGGGCTGTGCCTGCACCCTGGTGTTCAGATGTGCAGAGTTTTGCTCTGTCTCTGTGTCTCAACCTACTGCTTTACAAAAACCAAGATGAGATGGAGGAAAACCTCCTAGAGACAGATGAGGCTCCTAGCCAAACATCCAAACCTCACAGGCTTATACTGCCCAGCACTTGGATATTTGGAAACCTCCGGATGCTGGAACTTTCTTGCTTTCACTTGGATACTTTAAAGGAAAAGCACGGGAATGGGTTAAATGGTACCAACGTGTAAAAATCATGTGTTTTCTAATAAATTAGTTACTAATTGATCAATCAATTAATTCAGTTAATCAATCACAGACTGTTGAGCAATAAATAATACTGTTAACATTAATAGTTATTACTTTATGGAACTTATCATTTACAAGGCACTTTATACTTGTGATTGCACTTATATCCCACAATGCCTGCATGATGCATCTTACTATGCACAATTTAGAGGTGGAAGCTGGAAACCAGGAAGGATAGTTGGAGCTTATGACCCAAATTCTATGTTCCTGAAATTTGAAGTTTATTAATTCATGAAATCTCATAAACATTTAATATTAACTGTATGCCAGACACTCTGTTAAGCCTGGGAGAAAAAGAGGTAAAAAAATAGATAATCATTGTCATTAAGAGGCTTAAAGTCTAGCAAGGGAGACGCATTGAAAATTTAACAGTGTAGCCAGGTGTGGTGGCTCACGCCTGTAATCTCAGCACTTTGGGAGGCCAAGGTGGGCGGATCACTTGAGGTCAGGAGTTCGAGACCAGACTGGCCAAGATGGTGAAACCCTATCTCTACTAAAAAATACAAAAATTAGCTGGGGGTGGTGGTGCATGCCTGTAATCCCAGCTACTTGGGAGGCTGAGACAGGAGAATTGCTTGTACCTGGGAGGCAGAGGTTGTAGTGAACCAAGATGGCACCATTGCACTCCAGCCTGGGCAACAAGAGCAAAAGTGTGTCTCAAAAAAAAGAAAAAAAAAAAAAGAAAGAAAAAGAAAATTTAATTGTGTGGTAAATCCCATGTGGTTGATCCCATCACTCAAGTACTGAGCATAGTACCTGATAGGTAGTTTTTCAACCCTTGTCCCCAAACCATACAATATACCCAGGTAACAAACTGCATATGTACTCCCCGAATCGAAAATGAAAGTTGAGATTATTTTAAAAAATTAAGTTGTGAAATAATAAGTAAGTCGTGATCCTATTTGGTCTTTAGTTTTGTTTTGTTTTGAGACTTGACTCACTTTGTTGCCCGGGTTAGAATGCAGTAGCACAATCACGGCTCACTGCAGCCTTGACCTCCTGTGCTTAATTGATCCTCCCACCTCAGCCTCCTGAGTAGCTGGGACTACAAGCATGCACCACCTTGCCCGGCTAAGTTTTATATTTTTTTGTAGAGATGGGGTTTCATCATGTTTCCCAGGCTGGCGTTAAACTCCTGGACTCAAGCGATCCACTCGTCCTGGCATCACAAAGTGCTGAGATTACAGGCGTGAGCCACCATGCCCGATCTTGTTTGGTCTTAAAAAAAAAAAAGTGCAGTAGACCTTCCCTGGGTGCTGCATCCATGAATCCAACCAACCACAGATAGAAAATATTAGAAAAAAAAAAAACAATAAGACCACAAATAAAACAAATAAAAAATATAGTATGACAACTATTTATATAGCATTTACAACGTTTTAGGTATTATAAGTAATCTAGAGATGACAAAGTACAGGGGAGCATTGCGTTAGTTTCTTTGCAAATGTTATGCCACTTTCTATCTGGGACTTGAGCATCTTTGGATTTGGGTATCTGCTGGGGGTCATAGAACCCATCTCTCAAGGATACGGGGGGACCACTGTATAGCAGAAAATAAGGCACAGGGTGTGGAAGAGTCAAGGAGGAACTCCTGACCCAGAATGGGCAGTCTGGGATGCCTCCCATTAGAGGTGACTCTTTCAGAATGAGTCTTTAAAGATGAAGAGAGAATATTAGGCAGCCAGCAAAAAGGTGTGAATATTGAATAATCAAAATTTATAACCTCCAGCCTTATCTCTTGGCTTAAAAGTTTAAAGTGAAATCCTGTTATCTATTTTCCAGTGAGCTGAGAATATGTCTTAAGATTTCAGGAAAAAAAAAACTCTGATCATCATTTGCTTTAAAGATTTTAGCCAAGTATGTGAGAAGTAAGTGCTTAACAGAGGCCATCAAACCCACCGATGAGCTAAAAACAGGCATTGGAAGAAGCAGATGTTCAGGGGTTAGGGAGTGAAGTCAGGGAATTAATGGCTATTGAATTAAACAGGATGGAAATAATTTCAGATTGAAACTGAATTACTGCTTCTCAGGCAGAGTTAGGCAGAGCAAGAAGGCTCACTCCTGCAGAGAAGCAACACATGTTTGGTTTGATGAGAGGGATTATCAATCAAATATAGAGAAGGATAATAGATCAGCGTATCATTATTATCTTTAGGGAAACTGATGTATCATATAAATTGATTTTTCAGATAACAAAAGTGCAAATATTATCTATGTTTTAAGATTTTTAATAGAAGTTATTCTAAGAATCAATAACACACATCCTCTCCACGTGCCATCCCTTATTAGACATGTTAACTTGGGGGAGTTGTTTGACTTCTCTCTGCCACAGTTTCACTCCCTGGAACTGATAATCATCCCTACCTCTAAGGGTTATTTTGAATATGAAATAAGTTAATGCAAGTAGAACAAAGCCTGGCTTATAGCAAGCAGTTAACACATGTAGATGTTATCACAATCATCATTATACACAATAAGCAAGATAATTAAACCAAGTTTACCATTTTCTAGGGGATTTTACTTTTGGAAGGAAAAAACGAGAGTCTGTTAACCTTCCTGGGTCTTAATCTGTTCACTGAACAATGAAAGTTTGGACTTGAGAAACTCAAAGGACCCTCATTAGCCTGGACATGCCATGTGCCACACCTGCCTGGTAGTTGTCACACACATCAATTATTTCACTGGGCTGCTGTATACTGTTACTGTTATCTTTGTGGTGGTGGTGTGTGGGTATGTGAGTGTGGAGGGGGTCTTACCTCTTGCCCTGGTGCTAAATGGCTCCAGAGTGCTATCTCCATAGCTGGTGTTTCACCTCCCTCCTTTCTGAATGTTGGCTGGCCTTCTTGGTGGTTATGTTCTTGGGACATTGTAAAATATCTATTTTGTCTTCATCCAGTTTCCTGGCCTAAAAGTCCTAAAATCCTTCGACTCTCCAAAGTGATAGTGTCTTTTTGTATGCTAATAAGTTGATTGGTGGTGGCAGCCCCTAGGTAGCTTCAGGATAGAGGTTGGTTACTGGTAAGACCAAGGCAGGATTAGAGCGTTGGGACTTTCAGTCACACCCCCCAACCACCAGGGAAGGGAGAGAGACTAAAGATTCATTGGCTGATGGCCAATGGTTTAATCAATCTAGACTACACAATTCAGGCCTCCATAAGAACCCAAAACGATTGGGTTTTGAGAACTTCCTGATAGCTGATAGGAGGTCTCTTAGAGGTGATGTGTCTAGGGAGGGCATGGAAGCTCCCAGTTCCTTCCCGTACCTCACCCTATCTGTGTCTTCACCTGTATCTTTATATTACACCAGCATATATAAGTAAGTGTTTCTCTGAGTTCTGTGCTCTAGCAAATTAATTGAAGAAGAGGAAGGGGTGGGAGTCTCAATTATAGCCAGTCAGTCAGAAGTACAGGTCACAACGTGAGTCTTACCTGAGTCTTACAATTTTCATTGGAAGTGGGGGATAGTCTTGTGAGACTGAGCCCTCAAGCTGTGAGATCTGATGCTATCTCCAGGTAAACAGAGTCAGGATTGAACTGAGTTAGAGGACACCTGACTGGCGTCTGCTGCACAATTGATTGATTGGTTGCTGGTGGGGAGAAATCTCCACACACTTGGTGTCCAGAGGAGAAATATTCTGTGTTGATTGTTGGGTGAAACAATAGAAAAAAAACTTTGATTTTCTCAATATCCTTACAATACTACTCCCTTCCCCATTTTACTTTTGCCCTTTCTGTAGACGTCATATGGCTTTTAACATCTGGTCCACTATAATTTACTAGAGACTTGGATATTATTGCAAAATCAAATATCAATTACATAAAAGCTTATTCAATGGTGTGTATGTGCATAAATATATATTCAGTGGTATCTTAAAGCACTATATGCAAGAAAGAGGGAGTTCTATGGATGAAGGGGTTCTTCAACCCTAATGAAGGATAAGAGACTGAGGATGGATGGTTTGATGAGATTTGAGGATGAAGATCTAGGAGGACCATAGCAAGCTAAGAGAGCATTCAAAACCTTCTTGGGGAGTAGTGACAAATTTGAGATTAGTGATTACAAACAGACTGTCAGAGTTGTTGAATCTTTGTAACTTCTTCACATTGGTTATTTTTGTTAGTTATGGTTTGTACAGTGGGGCTTAATTATTTAATTATTATTTTAAATTATTTCAGGTTAAAATTTTAAATAATTATTATTGTTTTAGCTACAGTTGGTTGAGTACCTACCATGTGTGAAAAGCTCTGCTCAGATGATACCCAATCATTACAGCAGTTCTATGAAAGAGGCACTCTTAACACTCCTGCCCTCCCATGTTATACACAAGGAAACTGACTCAGAGCAATCAAGTTACTTGCCCAGTACCTGCGGGAGTTCAAAAGCAAACCCAGGTTCTACTGACAACTAAGCTAACGATTTTTTCCTATGCCAGGCATCCTTTAATATTCTCCCAAAAGACAAGGATTCCATGGGCTTTTTGGAGACATTGGGAAACATGGAATTGGTGAGATGGCCTTATCTACAGCCATTCTTGGGGGATAAATGGATATGAACACCAGGGAACAGAGTGAGAAAGAGTAGAGATAGCACTTAATAAAAGCAACAAGAGCAAGGGTAAATCCTTAGGGAAGGTCTATTGAGGACTAACCAGTAAGAAGTTTCTGGGGTGCCTGAATATTTTCAACCCCATAGATTCAGAAGACAATGCCAGCTGTCCATGGGATTACAGGTGCAGCAGTCTTGTGACCCCTCCCACTGCGGTTGTGCTTGGTGTGAGCAGGTTGCCAAGAATTTGGATGCTGATGTTCTAGCCATGACTTTGTTTCAAAAGGCAGAAAGCTGTATGAGCACAGGTAAAATAGTGGAATCCAGACTGTGCTGGTCAAGTTGGAAAGCCTAACCTGCATGTGCGCCAGGTGAGTCCTGGGGGTCCATGCTCCAAAACATCTGGTGCCAGGAGGAGCCAGGAGGGGCTGCTCAAGCCAAAGATGTCAGAGTTGAGTCTTCGGCTTCTGTTTGTAATTAATATTTGGCATCTCCTCTCTTCACCCTCCTCCTCGCCTCTCTCTTCCTCTCCTTTCCCTTTCCCTTCCCTTCCTTCTCCAAATATTTATTGGGCACCTTTTCTGCACATGACCCTACACTTATGATATGACACAGGATTCCTAACTTTGAAGGTCTTGTAGTCTCATTGGGGAGGCAGAATCAATTCACAGTTGGTGCCATTAGAGCTATAAAAAAGGGGACAAGTCACTGTGGGAACACCGAGGAGGAAGCTCCAATCTACCTCAAGGTGGTACTGAGCTGAGTGTCAAGGCATTAATTGTTTGGACTTAGCAAGAAGCAAATGGGGAAGGGAGAGTGTCCAGGCAAAGAGAAGACTGTGGGCCAAAGCACACAGGCAGAAAACATGAAACCTTTCAGAAACTACAGAAGTTCATTATAAGAGGTCTAGAGGGGTTGAGAGCCATATCAGTGGGAGAGGTCATGGTTAGGTCCAGATTATGGAAAGAGCTGGACCCTGTATTATAGACCCTATAGACAATGGAGAACCACTTAAGCAATGGGTTTATGGCATTTGATTGTCTGGAAAGATCACTGGAGCTATTTCTCTGGAAGTTACATTGGAGGGTGGAAGTCCAAGGGAGGGAGAGCAGCTTGTAGGGTGGGAGCATTCTGGCGTGTCTCCTGGTCTATGGAATCCTTTTGAGTAGATTCAGGCACCACTTGGAGTAATTACAGAGCCCAGGAAGTGAAAATATGGCCAAAAACATAAAAATCATTTTGTGGGACTTTACTTTTAAGAGCAGGCATCTTGGCAAAACAGGCAACCTCAAGAAATATCAGCACAAAGATTTTCAGGGACTTGAGTTGTTGCAAAAGTTGCAGTTCACAAAGAGCAGTTTTAAAAAATGTATGGCCTCTCTTTCTCTTAAATGCCTCAGAACCTCCAGAGAGAACCCAGCAGGTTGGAAACTGGAGGCCTAGAGACAACTGATGACACCAAGCCAGGCAGCAACATACAAAGCCTGCTTTTCCCAGGACTTCCACTTTTATAATTAGTTCCCCCTTTTGCTAAAGCAATTACCCACTTAACTGCTCCAATGAGAACTTAGACCATTGTCAGCTCCCGGGGTGAAAAAGTAATTTACTTTCCTCTGCAGATCATGGGCACGCTAGTTCTTTGTTCAGACGGTTTCTATTTGCTGTATGCCTACTGTGTGGCTAGGTGCTTTGCACACTTCATTTCACTACATTGTCATAGGAACCCCCCCAACATTGTAGTATCATCCTTATTTTACATATTAGGAAACAGATTACTCAGATGAAATTGCAAGCTGACAGAGATAGCAAGTTGTGGAACCAGAACTGAACCCAGTATGTGAGGCTTCAGCGTCACTCCTAGGTCAGGAGGCCTCCGCACGGCACGTGCCTACTGGGAGACGCAGAAACACACTGAAGTTAAGAGTCTGGATTTTAGAGTCAGATTTTCCTGTACTGAATTCTGGTTTTGCTCTGGGCTCATTGGGGAATTTGCCCAAGGGCTCATAGGTTGAAGCTTAAAGAAATGGAAGGATGCAGCTAAAGCACTTTGCACAGGGCCTGGCCCAAACAACTGATCAATATATCCTTACCATTATTGGTAAGAATTGCCAAAAGCCTGCGTCTGAATATTTTTCCCAGTGATCACAATATTTCAGGTGAGTTTCCCATGGTCTTTGGAGTATGAGAATAATTTCATACACAGATTTAGGGAGAAAGCACTGCCTGATGCCAGATGCCATTCTAGAGTGTTATTTTATTTAATCTGCAATCAGGAAGGGCTCAAGTCAAGATTTCACCTCAGGCAGTTGGCTCGTTCCTCACCACGCCATGCTGCCTGTTCTGCTTTTGTGTTCGTGGAGAAGTTTGGGACAGGAATAACCTTAGTGATTAGAAACTTAGAGTGGACAGAGAGTACGTGTGCCTCACTAATTTGAAGTTAGCTCTGAAAGTGCTGGCCTTTTAAAGGATTGTTTTCCATGCAGAGCATGGCTAACACAGACTTTTGTAGTAATATGAACAAAAGCAAGATGTTAATTAAATAGTTACTTTTAAGAGCTGTGTCTTTTAACAGCTTAAAGAAAACACCAACTACCCGCTGCATTATTCTATTACCACTAATTCATATATTTTTAAAGAGAAACATTGAAAGGGAATGATTTTATTGAGTATCTAGATTTATATAAACTCACCGCTGAGCTGGCTGTTTAATATCCTATATCATATAATCCTCAATTAAGCCCATGGTTGCTATTATTATCCCCCAGGTGAGGCCAAGGAGGCTCAGAGATGTTTTGTAGCTTGCCCCAAATTCACAGAGCTAGAAATGGAAAAATGGGGTCAGAATTCCATTTTTGTACCCCAAAGTAGTGTCCTTTCTACTTTGCCATCTTCTAATTTGAGCAGACATAGGACCTTTGAGATGAAAACTAGTGAGCACTCATAGCCTGGATATGCATTTTCCAGATCTTCCTATGTGACACTGAACCCATGGCCAGCCATAGGCCAAGAGACACCAAGAATGGGCCTAAAGGATAGAGCAGTTCTCAAAGATTTGCAGCTGGGAGCTATTTGAGGTCAGAGCAGGCAGGGTGATAGAAATTCTGGTAAGTAGGGGACAGAAAAGCATTCAAGGACAAAGGAAAGAAAATGTTCAAAAACATTAATGGGATCAAGACACCAATCATTACAGTGTTGGAATTTGAGTCTGGTTCTGAATTGTTAATTGATTTTAGCAACTGTTTTGTATGATTGCCAGGATAGGGATAGTTCTCAGGATTGGATAGGCCCAGGTCTACAGGCATAAGTGAAGAAGTAGCTGTATTTGTGGAGGAGAGGATGAGAAGTTGATAGGGAAGGTGGGTTCTGACAGCAGAGGTGTGGGATGGGAGAGGCAAGGATCATGGGATAAACCTCAGAATAGAACAAAATCTTTTGTTTTGTTTTGTTGTTGAGATAGGGTCTCACTCTGTCACCCAGGCTGGAGTGCAGTGGTGCAATCTTGGCTCACTACAGCCATGACTTCCTGGACTCAAGTGATCCTCCCACCTCAGCCTCCTGAGTAGCTGGGATTACAGGTGTGTGCCACCATGCCTGACTAATTTTTAAATTTTTTGTAGAGATGGTTTTGCCACATATCCCAGGCTGGTCTTGAACCCATGGGCTCAAGTGATTCTCTTGCCTCAGCCTCCCAAAGTGCCAAGATTACAGGTATTAGCCACTGTGACTGGCCCAAATTTATTTATTTATTTATTTATTTATTTATTTATTTATTTATTATTATTTTTTGAGGTGGAGTCTTGCTCTGTCGGCAGGCTGGAGTCCAGTGGCACAATCTCAGCTCACTGCAACTTCTGCCTCCTCGGCTCAAGTGATTCTCCTGCCTCAGCCTCCCGAGTAGCTGGGATTACAGATGCACGCCACTACACCCAGCTAATTTTTGTATTTTTAGTAGAGATGGGGTTTTCACCATGTTGGCCAGGCTGGTCTCGAACCCCTGACCTCAGGTGATCTGCCTGCCTCGGCCTCCCAAAGTGCTGGGATTACAGGCATGAGCCAAATTTATTTTTAAGTAAAAGAACAAAATGACTTTTGTGAAGAAGGTAAACTTTTGAAACACAGCTGAGGAATATAACTTTCTGTGATAATAAATATTTTCTACATCTGCAATATCCAATATGGTAGTCACTAACTACATGTGGCTTTGGAATATTTAATATCTCCCTAGGTGTGTGACTAAGGGATTTCCTTTCTTGCTTTATTTAATTTTACTTACACTTAAGCTTAAATTGCCATGTGTGGCTAGTGACTACCATATTGGATGGCACAGCTCTAAAAAGAAATTACAATGATTCCCTGAGAAACTTAAAATGCTATAAATCCCTTTGACCAAAAGCTACTCAAAAAGTGTGAAGATGATTAAGATATAAGTTGCAAGAAACCCTTCTCACAAGTCAGCAAATCACGGATTGAGTTAGCAAAGAGCTCATTTTATGATACACGAGATAATATACGAAAATACATATTATGATAGCAGAAAAGATAGACATTTATATCAAATAAATATTATAAAATCAGCTTTATTCCAAAGCATTATTGAATGATTCCATCTGCCAGATGGTTTTTGTTGTTGTTCTGGGGGGCAGGAAGGAAGTTATTCCTAAGAAGGATAAAGATAAATTAATATTTACCCAACTTTTAAAAAATTTGCCTCAAAAGAATGAATGATTTGAGTATTGCCATCACGTTGATTATACAAGAATAATTTATTTCATGATTAACTCTGAATTTTCAAGTTGTTTTCATTATGAGCGCTGAAAGAAACAGGCAAGTGCGCACAAGTTGGCCAAATGGTCAAGATAAATTCTGGTCAATTCTTTAAGGACGGTCAGTGTTAGCAACTCCATCTCAGGGGTCCTGCTCTGGGAACCCATGTGTGGTCATCAGGATCACAGTCACCGTCCTCCACAAAATTCCCCTGGAGGTGGCAGCTGAAGACAACTCTGTAAGGGTGGAGATCAGCGCTTCCCTTTTCCTTCCAAGGAGATGGGAAAAGGCCTCGTTTTTGTATAACAGCAGCCCAGAATTCCAAAGCAGGAGAAATGAAGGCTGCTCTATAGCCAGTTAGCTGGGTTTTTGTAATGTTACCTTTTCTGAGGTTTCCCCAGACTTCTAGGCATCTGGAGTCCTCCCTGGAACAGAAGGTTTTTAAGATCCTACAAATGGAGCCAATCTTCTCTAGCAGGGGACAGAGTAAATGGCTTAATAGGCCTATCACATCTTAATTTTTTTAATGGTTTTATATCCTGGGGTAACAGTGAGGAAGGCATGATTTTATTATTATTAATTATTATTCTATTATTACAGTTTTCCAGTCTGGCTCTTTGATGTTTACAAGTTCAGACAACATGTGGTTTTCAAGCCAGGTTTCATAACCTTAAACTACCTTTCCATGTGGCTTCTGTCCACCCTATTTTGTTTTAGATCTTGTTTATGTTTGGCTTAAATCATGAGTTGGCTGTGGTGTGTATTTTGCCACATGGATTCAAGGCATCAGATGAAGACAGCATTTTGGATGGCATCTACATCGAAGCACAGTTACAAAACTTGTGTGCCAATGCTTGCCAGACTCTGGCTGGGTGGATGAGTCCTGGGCTGCCCGTTGAATTCTGCCTGATCTCTGCCACTTGCCTCGTAAGGGTGTGAGCTTTACAGCTACAGTCTAGATTCTCTGCTCAAACTAGAAAGTCTCTGTTCTACACGGAGTTTTGGCTTTGTTAGCCACAGATATTAGATGCATAAGTGCGTGACATAACTTAAAATAACATAAAAAAAATTCTACTGGGTACAGATTGTCAAGAATCTTGCACACCAGGCCAAGGGGTTTATGTCTTGTAGAGTAGTGCAGTAGTCCTTAAAGGGTGGTCCCTGGAAAAGCAGTATCAGCATCACCCAGCAACTTGTTACAAATGCAAACTTCCAGACCCCGTCCTAGACTGACTGAGTCAGAAACTCTGGGTGTAAGGCTCACCAATCTGTGTTTTAACCAGTCCTCCACATGGCTCTGATGCACGCTCCAGTTTGGAAACCACTGGTGTAGGGCATGGGGAGCTAGTTGAAAAGTGTTAGGGCTGGGTGCGGTGGCTCACGCCTATAATCCCAGCACTTTGGGAGGCTGAGGTGGGCAGATCACTTGAGGTCAAGAGTTCAAGACCAGCCTGGCCAACATGGCAAAACCTCATCTCTACTAAAAATACAAAAAATATTTATATTTTGGTGCACGCCTGTAATCCCAGGTACTCGGGAGGCTGAGGCAGGAGACTCACTTGAACCCAGGAGGCAGAGGTTGCAGTGAGCCGAGATCATGCCACTGCACTCCAGCCTGGGAGACAGAGTGAGACTCCATCTCATAAAAAAAATAAAAAATATAAATGAAAAGTGTTAGGTAGTGGAGGGAAATGGTCATTCACACACATTTTAGGAAGTTCTTGCCTGAAAAGGGAGAGACACTGGAGTCAGTGGAGAATAGTAAATCAACTTTATTGCAAAAATCTGAGCAAGGACATGATGAGTGTCTCAGCCAGGATGTAGCAATGAGGCTAAAACTCACTAGACTCATCTGAAAGATGATGTGGAGGTAGAGTTTCTTGTGTTAGGTTATTGCCTAACTATTGAACGTGAGGACCAGAAGTCTAGAATGACTCCCAGGTTCTGTCTTAGGTAGATATTGATGCTATTTAACAAGATAGAAAACAAAAGAAAAGCCTTTTCCTAAAACCATGCAGAAGCCAGAGGGCAAAAATTCAACATCCAGTCGAATTTGTGTGGTTTTGGCCACTTGGCTCAAACTCTAGAGAAAGGATTCTGTTGAAAGGCAGACAATAAAGTATCAGCCACAATGTCATGAACACAATGGGGCATATTGAAACCACATGCCTCTTGAATCAGAATACATGTTATGACAGTCTGTCTTCACTTCTCTTGGGCACCTGTAGTGGTAGTGGTGAATGAGTTGGCTGTGAAGATTCAGACTGAGACTGAACATAAATAGACAGGAGAGTTCACCAGCATCGGGGACTGGCTTATGCAGAATACAGCACCACCTCCAAGTTGCGTCACATCTTTACATTGGCATCCTTGCCATTACCAAGGATGTGGTTTTGTCCATGGTCTGCCTGAACATAGGTATTAAGATGCTATGTAAAAGGGTGATTATTCTGTGTGGTCATAGACTTCAAAAGGTCAGAGCAAAACAGTCATAGCATTTCTTTTTCTTTTTTTTTTTTTTTTTTGAGACGGAGTCTTGCTCTGTCCCCCAGGCTGGAGTGCTGTGGTGTGATTTCGGCTCACTGAAGCCTCTGCTTCCTGAGTTCAAGTGATTCTTCTGCCTCAGCCTCCCGAGTAGCTGGGATTACAGGCCCCCACCACTATGCTCAGCTAACTTGTATTTTTAGTAGAGACGGGGTTTCACCATGTTGGCCAGGCTGGTCTCAAACTCCTGACCTCAAGTGATCTGCCCACCTTGGCCTTCCAAAGTGCTGGATTACAGGCATGAGCCATCATGTCTGGCCCCGTCATAGCATTTTACAGTGGAAAGAAAACTCAGTGATAAGTCGTCAGACCCATTTTTTTCATAGATGGGAAAATTAAGGCCCAGGGAAAGGAAATGACTTGTCCATGTCCAGGGCCTCCACTCAGGGCAGAGCACAAGATGCTTTTCTCCATAATCACCTCGAGGCAATCCCTAATTCCAGCTCACATCTCACTCAGTGAGAGCAACAAGGACAAACTCAAATCGAGCCCATCTATGTGTCAACAGGCATAGTGCTGCTTATTCCCCATGGATCAGCTCCTCCAGTCCCCACCTCAGTGCTGTACTTTAAGGACTGGTGTTATTCCCATTTTAGCAGATGTGAAAACAGAGGCTTAGAAAGGTCGAATCCTTGCCCAAGTTAACTCTATCAGCCAGGTGAGTGTCCAACCTGGTATTTGAAGCCAGATGCCTGATTCTAGGATCTGTGATTTCGACACCGATGCTTTGTTGTTTCTTTTATCTCTGAAGCTTTCCTGAGCCCTGGCCTCAACAAGAGCTGGCCTCTTGCTACGTGTTCCAGCAGCCTCCATCCTCCCTTCTCCTCAACTTTAATCTCCCGTTGTCATTATTTTCTGTTGTCTCCTGTGCACTCCCATGAAGCCCTGCATTCTGGTCTCACTACAATTGCATGCTTTGCTTACAGATTGTTCCCCACTTGATTGCAAGCTTCAGCAGGAAAGACACTCGGTCCATCTTGTTCACAACTATGCATGTGCCTGACACCTAGTAAGTGTCCAATAAATACCTTTTGAGAAAAAAGGATGTATAGCAGGGCCAGGCACAGTGGCTCACACCTGTAATCCCAGCACTTTGAGAGGCCAAGGTGGGTGGATCAGTTGAGGTCAGGAGTTCAAGACCAGCCTGCTCAACATAGTGAAACTCTGTCTCTACTAAAAATACAAAAATTAGCCGGGCATGGTGGCGCATGCCTGTAATACCAGTTACTCGGGAGGCTGAGGCATGAGAATCACTTGAACCCAGGAGGCGGAGGTTGCAATGAGCTGAGATAATGCCACTGCACTCCAGCCTGGAGACAGAGTGAGGTCCATCTCAAAAAAAAAAAAAAAAAAAAAAAAAAAAAAAGAACGTATAGTAAGATGTTGGCTTTTCAAGGGCAAGGGCAGGGATCCTGTGTCAGCCATCTCTATTTCTTCTCCAAAACCTACCATGCTATTGTCATGCAGTGGGGACACTCTAAGGGTTTTTGAAAGCATGAATCAAGAGGAGAATTCAGCTGGGTGCGGTGGCTCACACCCATACCTATAATCCCAGCACTTTGGGAAGCTGAGGCAGACCTTTTTTTTTTTTTTCCCCAAAAAATCAAGATAGAAATAAAAGAGAATTCTTTCTAGAACAAAGAACAAGATTGGTCACGGCAGGTTCAGGAGGACTCTGTGTCTTCGGGAATAGAGGAAGCAGTTGGCACAGAGAGGAGAGTCTGGAGAATGCCAAGGACAAACTACGATGACCTCACAAATGTTCCCCATATGTGGAGCACTGAAAGTCTGAGAAGCATTCTGACAGGGATAAGGGAGAAGGAGCGGGTCACCTTTGCTTAGTGTCTACACTGGCCTGTCTTGTTTCCTCCTCAGTCCTCCAGTGTGGAAGCCACAGCTCTTGTTCCTGAGGTTGAAGGATCTCAATGGCTTCTGCACATAGTAGGCAAACTACAAATGTCAAATGAATGCATACAAGAAACACCGATAATCTTCGTTAAAATTTATTAGGTGCTACAAACTAGCTACTATCAGTATGTTACATGGGTTGTAAAGTAGACCACCATTATCCTCAATTAATCATGGAGGAAGCAGAAGTCCTGGAGGATGAAATTGCTTGCCTATGGCTACGCGAGCTAGCAGGTGGTGAATCAGAGTGGGAGCCCAGCAGTCCAGCATCTGTACCCTTCATGACCCCCATAAACAGCCCACTGTGAGTGACGTGTTGCAGCAGCACAGATGTACATGACAGACTCCTCCTCAGGGATCATTTCTCTGACTGCATAATAGGAGCCAGGCTGGATGTTGAATGAGGGTGCAGCATTATCAGCAAGTTGTAATGACAGGGAGCACTCAGCGAGCATTCCTGGCACAGGTGTGGGTAGAGGCACAGAAACCCATGAATGAATAGTTGAGTATTGGATGTGAAGGGATGGGAGTCAGTTTCCCCCCACCCTTGTAGGTAATATCTGTCTCTTCATCACTGCTGTTCTAAAAGATGGCCCCAAAAGTTCAGTCTCTGTAAAATGTGTTCTAAATTAGTGGCCCCTTAGGGATTCTGGGGCTATTTCCCCTAGACAGAGGTCAAGGGACTGGCTGGACTGGTCCAGCAGCCAGGGGGCCATGGAGTGGCTGCAACCTCAAGCAGGGTATGTTCTTCCACCCTCTCTTACCCTCTCACCTCTCAGCCAGGGAACTGAGGCTCAGGCCTCTCATGGGGAGGCGAGAAGAGAAACCAAGAAGATAAGTGAGGCGGGGCCTGGGCCTTGTCCACTTCCCAGCAGACTCACCTGCTCAGTGGGCTGCCTTGCTATGTGGTCCTGAGGAAGCCCTTCGAGGGCTTGGGCCTATTGTCTATGGAGGGGATGGTGATAATGCTTTCTGGCTCCTGCAGACCCTGAGTGAGAGTCAGTGATTGAAAAGAATGTGGGAAGGCGTTCACAGTGTGGTTTCCTGCTGGATCTGAGCCCACCATGAAAGCTGGGGTCTCCTGACCCAGCACTTAGGCAACCATATCACGCCCTCCTTGCCGATCTGGGCATGTGTATGTTAGTTGTGTGTGCGTGCAGGTGTCTGTAGGCATTCAGTGGTTCTGCCAGGGAATTTGTTCTTTGCAACTGAGCTTTTCACAGGCAGGAAGGCCTGAGAGTGATGTCAGTTTCTCCCCATTGACTCTGTGGGATGAACTCTGCCCCTATACTTACTCCTCCTCCTGCAACCCATCCTTTAACTTCTATGATTGGGGTCCTTGGTGATGAGCCATGTCATAAGGTCAGGTTCTTCCACCTGCAGAGCACTTGGCATTTCCAGACCACATGCATGATACTTAGGAGAAGGCTTCTCCTTGCACAGTCAAAAAGGGTAGGGAAAGTTCTGCCATGGGAACTTACCATATGCCAGGATTGTGCTAGACACTTTGCACAAGGGTCTTTAATTCTCAGAAGTGATTCTGAGAGGGAGATATTTTTATGCCATTTTACTGATGGAGATGTCAAGGCTCAGAGATGTTACAGGAATACCCACAGCTAGCAAGTGGTGAAGCCCATGGTTGTTTTTGTTTTGCTTTGTTTTTTTTTTTTTTTGTTTGTTTGTTTGTTTTTGAGACAGAGTCTTACTCTGTCTCCCAGGCTGGAGTGCAGTGGTGTGATCTCTGCTCACTGCAACCTCCGCCTCCCAGATTCAAGCGATTCTCCTGCCTCAGCCTCCTGAGCAGCTGGGACTACAGGTGCGTGCCACCATGCCCAGCTAATTTTTGTATATTTTTAAAGTAGAGATGGGGTTTCACCATGTTGGCCAGGCTGGTCTCAAACTCCTGACCTCGTGATCCACCCGCCTCAGCCTCCCAAAGTGCTGGGATTACAGGCATGAGCCACCGCGCCCGGCCATAGCCCGCAGTTTTAATTTGGCCATCCTGTGGAGACTCATGAGGCTGAGCAGTGATGCTGCCAAGGCGATGGACACTGGATTGACTCTTTGGTAGTTTCGGCTTTGCTCTGGGAGGCCTCCGTGGATTGTTCCCGGGAAGGGACTGTGGCTCCTTCTGCCTCACTGGAGCATCAATTCCTGAACCTGATGTTTCTCTACTGTGAGCCAATCCTCGTGTTTTATTCTCTAATCTCGGCTTTGCCAAAAAGCAGGCAGCCTTTGGAGAACCTAAAGAGGCGACAGACCGAGTTTTTCCTCTGGTCTGTACAATGGTGGGCAAACCTCTGTGTCTCTCTGGGCCTCAGTTTTCCCACCAGTGATATGAGATTATTCTAGAATGATATTTTAGAGTCTTTTCAGCTCTGACGTCATTTCGTTTCATTGCATAGCATTGCAGTGCTCTGTATTTTATCTTTAGACACCCTCCCTCTCTGAAATGTTATAATCTTTCTCACGGAGGCTTCTCCCCTTCTGGCTAGTCTGTCTTAAAGTATAGCACCACCTTCTGGTGATTGGTTTACTCCTTCCCCCGCCTCCCACTCTAGCTCCTGTCTGATTCTTGGTTCCTCTCTTCCTCCAGAAACTAGGCTGAAAACCGATGACCAGGCACAGACACCTGGCTGTGGGCATCTCTCTGCAGAGCTCACCTGGGAGGGTCAGTGGTGAGTTGCAGCTGGACCCGGCATTCTTCCATCAAGACAGTGCCGATGCCCTTCCTGGGGCTGAGATCACACCAGGAGCCGGGGAGGAGCTGGCTACCTTGGCAGAGCCTGGATGGCCTGGGGTGGCAGCAGCTGAAAGTGCATAATTCATGAGGGATTTGCTCCATCAGGAAGCAAGGGCAGAAGTAGACAAGGTCCTCGGCCTGGTTTTTCTTTCCCTTTTGCTTTTGTTTTGAGGTGAAGAAGCAGGCTTCAGAAAAATGTATGGGCAGCCAAGTTTCAGAGGCTCTTAGAGTTTTTGGATTTTTTTTTGGGGGGGGGCTTTATTTTGTGTGGAAAAGAAAGCAAGAAAAAGAAGGGGTGTGTTTAGGGCTTTTTCCCCCATGAGAGAAATGTGGAGGGCCTCCCTGAGCATGTGTCTTTGTCTCTATGGGTCATGGCTCCTGAGCAGATTTCTCAAAGTTGCTCTCATCTGCCCAACACTCATGACGGTCTGAGGGTTCAGCTGTGGGGATAGAGAGGATGGAGGGCTGCGGGGGATCTTCTACCAGGACCTGTCAGCTCACTACCTAGGAGGACAGAGTTTAGGCTTGTCTCTATCCTGGAGAAACCCAACTGTCCCCAAACAGGCCAGGCCTTGTGTGGCTTTAAATTTCTGGAAGTACACATTGTATTGACTTGGGAATGTTTGCTGTAGGAACTCTGACCTGGCAGATAGGAGACCAGATTCCAAATTATGAATGCACTGCTCTAGGTGTTCTTCAGCAACTGAGTGTCTTTTATCTTCCAAGCATAGTTTCTTCTTTCGCAAGGAGAGGGTAGAAATGAAGAGTTTCAAGATTTCTGAGCTTCATTCTATCCCATTATTCTAGAACACTAGGAGTTAAATGATAGGGGTTTTCATTCACACTCTGCCTCTTCCCTGATAAGCCAAGTAACTTGTCTTGCTCCTAATGAGTTTGTCAGTTTGGGCAGCATCATGCATTGGAGTGGGACAGGGCCAAGATGTGCAGGTGCCCCATGCCATCCCAACCCCATGAGCTCTGCATGCTTGCAGGGTTGTTGGAAGGATGTCCAAGGCTGCAGTGAAACTTTGCTGCTGTGGATGGGGTGGGTGAGCACACATACAGGTGCCTGGGCCTGGAGCAGGCTGGGGAAGTGCAGGGAAGGTAGACAGAACCAATGGGATGGCTGTGATCCCATACAGAGAGCCACTAATTAAGGCCCATATATCAGCTAAAAGGAAGGAATTATCAGCAATCAAAAGAAAAATGTAAACACATTCCAAATTGTACATTTTTTTAACCTTCACCTAGTCGGGTGGTCCGTGTTTGTTCTATGCCACAAGGCAAATGTGTGTACCTGCACAGACACACCTGTGTGCGTATGCTCTGAATTAGAAGGGTTTCATCGAACGAGGCCGGCAGGGTGATACTCAGCCGCCAGGCCTCAGCCTTGTGGGAATTGGCAGGAAACTGTTGGTAAATCACTTGGGATTCTGTGGGTACAGGCACTGTGTTCATTGAAGATATCATTAGCGCCTTTCGTCAGGAGCCAGAAGCCCACAGTGCAGTCTACCGGTGCTTGACTTAGCTTGTCCAGCAGTGAAATTAACATAATAAAACTCAGTTAACAGAGATGCTACAGATTTAATTAGTTCCTTAACAGTTAAAGAAGAGTTATGAGATCCTGAGCCCTCCATCTTCAAAAGCAATTTGGGCAGATTGATGTCACCGTCCGACATCTCCACCGAAATTCTGGGTTGCCAAAGTCAATTTGGGAAATTGCTCATATTATTCTACCTCCTTCCTTACCACCTTGAAAGGAAGCACTTCCAGGTTGCCTCTCAACTGATTCTTCCAGAGCCTGGGACTCACCGGAAATAGGGAGGTTCTACCCTATGGGCTCTGGAGCTTCTCCTTTGGAGTGCCTGGCCCCTCTGCCTCTCCTCCCACATCCCAGAACCTGCCTCATCTGCCCTTTGCATTCTGCAGGTGCTCAGTAGATACAAGTTGTAGCTATCGTTCTTCTAACACCTTTTTTTTTTCTTTAGACAAAGTTTCACTCTTGTTGCCCAGGCTGGAATGCAGTGGCGCAATCTTGGCAACCTCCACCCCCCGGGTTCAAGCAATTCTCCTGCCTCAGCCTCCTGAGTAGCTGGAATTACAGGCATGTGCCACCATGCCTGGCTAATTTTTGTATTTTTAGTAGACGTGGGGGTTTCACCATGTTGGTCAGGCTGGTCTTGAACTCCTGACTTGAGGTGTTCCACCTGCCTCAGCCTCCCAAAATGCTGGGATTACAGGCGTGAGCCACCATGCCCAGTGTTGTTCTTCCAACTTCCTGTGCATTCGGTGCCTCTTCTGAATCTGTATTAGATGCCATAAAATGTAATATGGCTATTAAGCTGTTTGTTCTGGGCTGGTGGATTTAGCAGTGTTTGGGCATGGTAGGTGACTGAGTGAGAGCTACAACAGCTTGAGAAGTTCGGGACACTCACTCAGGAGACCCGTAATAGCTCGACCTCTTATTTTCTGTTTTGTTTTGTTTGTTTGTTTTGTTTTCTCTCTTCAGGAATCATGTTTACAAAGCATTCCCTTGGCAAGAGGCTGTCTATAGGATCCAGATGGTCTGACCCCAAGTCAGATGTCCTTTATAACCTTGCTTTTATGGTCCTCTGACCAGCAGCATTAACATCACCCTCACCTGGGAGCTCATTAGGAATGCAGAATCTCGGGCCTCATCCCTGATCCACTGAATTGGAATCTGCATCTTAACAAGATCCTCAGGCAATCTGTAAGCATATGCATGGTTGAGAAGCACTGCTGTACAACACTTTGTAACAATCTCTCTTGTCCAAGAGCGGGGACGAAGCTAGCTGTGAAAGCTAACACAGGTCTCAGGTGTTCTTCTTCCTGCAAGTGAGGGTTGGACAGCCCAAGCCATGCTTCGCCTGGGCCCTGAGGAGGCCTCACCCCCCACTCCCCATGGCAGCAACATTCTCCTTGAGCCTTCCTTGGTGGTCCGATGTCAGCATCTTGCCAATCCAGGCGAAGGCATCATGCCACACTGACAGATGGCCCAAAGTAGGACAGACAGAAGAAATGTATGTTTATCAAATTTGGGTTGAAAAGACCACGTTCCCCCAGCATAGGCTGTCAAACAGCTGTCATTCAGGAGCATATGGCCCAGCGGTGAGAGGGCACAGACACAGCTAATCCCACTCTTAGAGAGATTAGCTCTGACGAGTGAAGAAAGTTGCGGCTGTCGCCAGGGTGCTGCCTGGGAGGAGAGGGTGGAGGGTCTGCATTGTGGTTCATTTCCCGAATCACCTTCCCTGTGATCGAGGCTCCTGTCTGCCAAAAAGAAGCCAGAATGAAATGATGCTGTAGAAATAACTATGACAGTAATAATAATAAATCTACCATTTATCAACCACCTGCTTTGTGTCAGGTAACAGTAGGTTATTTATTTCTACCACTTTATTCCGTGCAGGGGCCCTTTTGGAAACATATTATTATCTCCACTTTACAGATGAGAAACACAGGTCTCTGAGATGCAATTGTGGGTCCCCAGGTGGTGCAAGCGATGGTGGTTCCTGCAGTCCCTGGGCAGGTCAGGAAACACTCCTGCATTCAGATAGCCAATTCTGGCCCCTATGTAATGAAGATGCTGACAACTAAAGTATAAGGAGGGAGCAATGTTTGCAACACAGAAGCAGATGAGACGATGTCTACACGCGGTGGTTTAAATGGGAACATGGCTTTTTACACTGCTGAGAGTCCAGGACCACATCAATGGGACAGCAGGCCTTGCACAATGTGACTCTCTGTCCAGCTCAGCTGGAGTCCAGCACACCTGCAGCCAAGGCATGAGACATATAATTTCCCATGCCGTCATCTCCACCCAAAACTTCACCCCTCAGGGTGCCCTGTGTGGTGAGTGGACTAAATAGGCTGAGACTTTAAGAGCAGAAGCACACACTTATTGAACACCTGCTGAAAGTCAGGCTTTCTTCTAGACACATGTCATGCAGCCTGGCTGGTGTTGAGGCTGTGGTTCCCCTGCAGGTAGAGGACATTGAAGCGGTGGAGGCTGAGAAGAAACACGCAGGTGGGTGTTGACCAAGCCATGAAGAAGTAGCCATTGCTGCAAGCCCAGGGTGGCTCCAGATGGCTGGCGTTCAGAAGTGGTTCTGTTTCCTCTGCTGAGGCTGTTATTTTTAATTGCCATGTGCATTTCTCACTCTGCCCAGGAAAGGAAGCTGAAGGGTTGAAAACACAGTCTCATGTAGCAACTTGTGTAGAGATTCTGGTCTGATCAGAATGGAGGAGAGAGTGCTGAATATGATATTAGAAGTGAAAACATGTTTGTTTTATGTGCTTGGATAAAAGGATCATGCAGCTCAGTCCTCAGCCAAATTTCAAAGAGTTTCCCTAAATGACCTTGAAGAGCCCCTGATCTCAGTAAAAGCAAGAATTTCAGTTCAACAAATGTTTATAGAGCATATCCATGAGCCAGGGATGCCCAGACGTGACTTAGACTGGGCCTTGCCCTCCAATAACTCATAATCAGGAGAGGATTAACAGGTAAGAGAACACCTTTCCCAAAGTCTTGGTTTTATCATTTATGGTTTAAATTGTTATAAGAAAACCCAAAGCTTCGTGATACTTTCTTGTAACTTACTATGAAACGTGATAGGCAGAGTAACGCCTTCCCACCTTCAAAGATGCCCACGTAGTACAGAAAATAAGATGTGATGATATGGCAGAGGCTGGAGTGATGCAGGGCCATGAGCCCAGCAAGGCGGACAATTTCTAGAAGCTGAAAAAGGCAAGAAAATGGAGAACTGAGACCCTCCAGAAGGAGCAAAGCATCACAGAACCTTGATTTTAGCCAGCAGGATTTTGGATTTCCGACTCCAACACTATAAGCTAGTAAAACTGGTATCATTTTAAGTCACCAAGTTAGTAATAATTTGTTACAGCAGCAAAAGGAATCTAACACAGGGCACAGTCTGAACTGTGCATGGGAGAATGGCAAGAGGGGATGCCACCTGGCCAACCAGTGACCTCGTCAATTGCCAAACACCTGCTATCAATAAGTGACACAATCTATACTTGCCATCATATAAATGGTAACAGAGTTATTTTTACTGTATTTTATGGGGAAATGACATGCTATAATGGCATTTACAAATTTTGGAGGTGGTGACAGTCTTGGACTCTAGCCCTTGGGAGTGTTTGGGCTCTGCTATGCAGGTGAGCACAAGACCTGCTGGAAGCCCAGAGGGTGGGACGCTTACCAAGCTGGGAAGAAGGCTACCTGGAGAAGCAGATGTCAACTGCAGTTTTGAAGGATGGTTAAGATCCAGCCAGGTGACTGATGGCAAAGACAGAGGACATAGCATGAACAAGCATGCAGAGGTGTGTGCAGTTATGTATAAAGAGAAGCCAAATCATGACACCCAGATTCTAGAGAGGAATGCAGCTGGCAGGCCATAGAGGATATTTTACATCATGATAAGGGATTTGGGCTTCACCTACTTTGGCAATAATGGCAACCCATCAACACATTTTAAATGAAGGTTAAACTGATCAGTCTATGCTTTACAGGGATCATATTGACCCATAAAAGTTGGATTGGAGGGAGCAGGACTAACATTCCATTAGAATTCCAGATGAACAGGCAAGGGGTACCCTGGAAAAGCTAAGTTGCTCTTTCATTCCTCTAAGACCAGCATATTCCCTGGGACGTCTTCTCTTACCTTCTTAGTTACATGAGTGGGCTTCCCCGTCTGACCCTTTACCTCTCAAGAATAATGGAGCCGGCATATTTGTCTGGCTCTGGTCCTTGGAATGGGCCCTGATAGAGGCACTCACCATCATTGGAAAGGGCTGGAGAGTCTAGGCCTGACTGCCTTCTATTCTGGAGATTAGATTTGAAGGATCCTGAGATTTTGCTCTGGAGCCCCTATTGTCATCTGTCCAAAATTACCAAGTGCCAGAGGTCTGAATGAACACTGGAAATAGTCAATACTATCCCATTTTTTGCAATGTACAAAATCAAGGATTCTGGAAGCTATGGATGGAGGAGATGAATGCTGATTTTCTGCAGAATTCTAGAGCAGGATAGGAAGCAGATTGTTAGTGTTTTGAGAAGAGTTCAGTGATTACAAGGAATTAACATCCATTCATCGAGAATAACATCTGCCCTTCCATTAGAGACTGGATCTAGGAATAAAAATCCAAAGAACCCCCGTCCTTAGCTTGCAACAGCAAGAACAGACAAATGGATATTTCTTAACAGGCTTGTTGTGTTTGATGTGGAGAGATGCCAGTTTTGAGAGATGCTGTGAGTGGTCCTCATATGTCACAACCAGCCCGGGGATTCTCAGGGGGGAAAACCCTTTGCTTGCCCCACTTGGATACCTGAAAGATACTGGATAGCTTTGCTTTGGAAATAAGCACAGGGAGTCAAAGAGAAGTTAGGGCAGCAGAGAGATTCTAAACAGGATCTGAAGACTAAACATGTTAAAAAGATGAAAAGTATTCTATTCTCTGATATTCTCTGATCATATTATCACAAAATATTAGAGCTAGATTCTCATGATGGTCCATTCACTTGTGTATTTAGTAATGTTTTTCTGAGTGACTATGCACTAAGTGCTCTGTCAAGCATAGAAGATACAAGGCCAACCTCTCTAACAGGTGTTTCCCTGGCAACAGGTCTCAAGGTAGAACAAGAAACAATGATGAACAGTAATTTTGTACTGGTCCTCTTTCATACCAGTTACATGGAGATTTCTGGTAGGCTCAGTGTTGCAACTTGCAAAGGGACTTCTCAACAGCTCTTTGATAGTATTTGGCTTGGAGATGCATTTATTCTGCTCTTACTGGATTCAGATGTAGTTTTCAAATATTACAGCTTTTTTTTTTTTAGACAAGCAAGGAAAATCATCAAAAAAATCATCAGAAGTTGATGAATCAAAATTCAGTTTTAAGAAATCTTGATATTATTCTCAACATGAGCGTGTGCACAGACACACACACACACACACACACGATTTTATGCCCTTGAAATGATAAGTTCAAGATATTCCAGAGATATAACTTAAGGAAGTCATTTGAAATAATCATCTTTACTTGTATTGTTTATAACTTTAAGAAACATTTCAACCTGACCACTTGTTTCATACCTTGATTGAATACCTCTTCCCTACACAAGCAAATTCTTATTAAATATGAGAGGGCAAAATGACCACCATTTTCACAATTTCTTTATATTTTGAACCAAGGCCAGGAGATAGATAATTGCTGTCCAGCTGTGGATAAACAATGGGTGAGCTTATTTTACGTGATCATGCCACTTCTTGTGATATACATGGTAAGTCTTCTGCCTGCTTTCTCTCTGCATTACAGCCCACAAAGCAATCATTACCAACATGAAAACAACATTTGCCTGTTTGTTGTTTGTTTTTCAGCAACAAAAACAACAAAAAGTTCCCAGCACTTTCCCCTTGTTGCTGTGCTATATATGTATGCCAAGAGCTCATTCATTACTGTCCTATCAGGGGCCATAATCACTGCTACTGATACTATCTATCATCCATCAATATTAGTTCATAAAAGAAATGTGTTGCTTTCTCACTCTCTCTGAGCACATTTGCCATTAACTTTGTGGGTGGTTTACAAGCTCCTTGGCAACAGTATAATTGTACGTATTTTTGTGCTATGAAAATTTAACATTGAACTATGCTTTTTTGATTTTCCTTTCTTTTCTACATTTCAGGATACAAATTCATTAATTTCTTGTGGACAATGTTTTGCTCAATTTGTTCTGAACTGTTCTGATTGGCTTAATAGGTCATCAGACTTTGTCGAAAAATGACTTTAGGACAAAGTTCTGTTACAGTGTGCTAGGAACTAAGGACAAATGGACCCTCCATCCAAAAGCTTCAGTTTTTGCATGTATATTATTATACTTAGTAGCCACGTTTCTTTCTTTCTTTTTTTTTGGCTGCTTGAGCAAAATTGTCAATGAGAGTGTCCATGCACTCCAATATATGAAATCACATTTTATATTTGATCCATAGTCGTGTTCCATGGCTCATTTATGACTATAGAGATAGAGGAAAACATAAACTCAGTTTTTCCTACCATCATCTCACAATACAGAATGCTTCTGTGACCAAGTGGGTGTGGGGTTTTCCCACACATCATGCAAATGATCCTACCGGCGGATTCTCCAGTAGACATCAGCTGGATGTCCTCTAATTCAATTCAATTCAATTCAGTTCTGACACTGACTATGTGGAGATAGCATCAGATCCCACAGGTTGAGGGCTCAGTCCCACAGGACCCCCTCTCATTTCAGCTGCCAGTCACAAGCTCAGGCTTTCGGAATTTCTGAACAATTGGCTATAAATTTTGGTTTCCACAACCCCCTCTTTGGATTCGATTAATTTATTAGAGTGGCTCACAGAACTCGGGGAAACACTTTACTTACATTTACTGGTTTATTAATACAAGATGTAATGAAGGAAGCAGATGAACAGCCAAATGCAGAGATTTACTGAGCTAGGTCTGGAGGGTCCTGAGCATAGGAGCTTCTGTTCCCGTGGAGCTGGGGTGTGCCACCTCCCAGCACACTGGTGTGTTCATCAACTCAGGCATTTCCAGAATCCAGTCCTTTGAGTTTTTATAAAAGCTTTATTACATAGGCATGATTGATTACATATTTAGCCGTTGGTGATCAACTCAACCTTCCGCCCCTCTTCCCTCCCCAGATGTTAGGAGGTGGGGCTGAAAGTGACCAGCCACATTCAGAAGCCTCCTAGGGGCTGCCAGCCACCAGTGTTCTCATTAGCATACAACAAAACAATAGCAACAGCACAGTACTATATATATTTCCCAAAATGTACAAGTGTGTGCAATGAGATGAAGAAACAATAGGTAAGATATCCTATTAACAGAGTACCTTAGGTGAACTGACAACATAATCCCTATAGTACATGTAAAACTGTAAAGCATGTAGTAATTATGGAAGAGATTTCTTGGAAAAATTACATTAATCTTACATTGCAAATTTGTGAAATGCATACGAACACGGTTGTTTCATCATGCTTTCACTTGAAACAATTCCACCACCTGCAGACCACTTGTGAGGCCACTGGGAGCCACTAGGAACCTGTAGACCACACTTGGGGATACCTTGACTTACTTGGAACCACATCCTTTCCATGTGTAGCTCTTGAACCCCTCCTTAAAATCAGCAGTGTTTGTCATCCACATCCATCTGTGGTCTTTTCACAATGAATCCCCAGTGCTCACAGAATTAAGTGTGGCATTCAAGGCCCTCCACAATGTGTGCACCTATAGTCCCGCTATGATAACTGTCTTCAAGTTCTCTGAAAGTGTCTGGGTGTCCTGCGTGTGCCTTTTATTCCCACGACAAGTCCTTTCCCCTTCCCACTTCCAGTGGACCACATAGTAAAATATGATGAACGTACCTTTCTTACCTGGAAAGTAACAATTTTGAGGCCATAGAGCTTCATCACATCCTGCCTTTGCATTCACGGAGAAACTTGGTTGCCCCAGGTGTGAAAGTGACTGGGTTTCATCACGGCCCCCTCCCAAAGATGTTAGTCCAGGGATCTGGACCAGAAGAAACTTTAAATGTCAGCCCTTTATGATATACTTAATGGTCTCTCCTTTGTTTTCCAAGTGTTGTCCCATCTGAGTCCTGTGCCTGCCTCACCTCCACCCAGTGAGGGTCCTTACCCAGCCACGTACACCACTTGGGGACTAGTGGTGTTCCTGCTCCTTACAGTCATATCTGAGGGTGAGCTCCCAAGGGTTTCATCATGGCCCATTTGAGGAGATTATTGCACATAGATCCCTCTGGGTCTATCCCATCAGCTGTCCAGATAGCCCTGGACATGACTGCACTTAAAGACCAAACTCAGTCCTGGACTCTGGGATTCCATTCCAATAGGTCCTCAGCCCTTACAGCATCAAGTCCAATTCCTTGGTGTAGCATCAAGGCCCTCCACAATGTGCGTGGCAGCCAGTGTCCTGCATGTCTACATTTCCCAGTGTCCAGCCTGTTTCCAGCGCATCGCATCTCTGGCTTTTCCTGAGGGTGTGTCCTCATCTCCAGAGCTTCCCCCCAGTCTTTGCCTCATCTGTCCCCTCCTTCTGGAGCAAAGTGGGTCTTTGTGGTTTCTCCAGCTCTAATGCCTTCTTCTCCATAAGCTGTCCATGGATTCCCACTGGCATAAGTTTTGAAGTCAGATAGACTCGATTTCAAATTCCAGATCTGCTTTTCCTTTACTGTGTGACACTGCATTTTTCACTCAACCCTTCTGTGATTTAACTTTCCGGACTACAAAACAGGGACAATGATTCCTACCTTGGAAGGAAGATATCAAAAGTAAAAGCAACAATGTCTTTAAAGTGCCCTACACAGCTATGTATGCCTGATAGGTGTCACTTCCCTGCTCCTTCCTTTCTCCGTATTCCTTCAGCATGTTGATTTTTACTTCTGTTTTACTTACTGCTTATTACTGATTTACTGTAGTTCTCTTCCTATTTAATTTTCTTTATAATTCTTTAAGGCATTTATCTTCTGAATTGAACTGGAAAATTCTTAGGATCACGAAACATTTTCTTCATCTTCCCGGTTTCTGTGCCTAGTATGGAGTAGGTACTTGGTAAATCATATATAATACATATATTATAAAATATATAAATATATAAAATATATAAGTATATATAAAATATAAAAAGTATGATATATAATATATAAAATATATAATATATGATAACCATATAATAACCATATATATGATTTTTTAATTCACTTTGGGAAATAATAAAAAGGAATATGGAATAGGAACTTGCTATTTCAACTAAAAGCATGATACCTCTAGGAGAATAGGATTTAGTTTTTTAAGGTTTTATGTGTGGCACTGCAGAGGAAAGGTAGGAAGTTACAGAGCTTTCTGCCCTAGAGGAGCAAAACAAAAACGGGGTAACAAGATGGACATTCATGCCCAAAGAAAAATATATGCTATCCTGAAACTTGTCAACTGAACGATCTCTGCAAAATATCAGTGCTGCTCTGGATAAAGAAAGGGCAATGGTGCCAAGTGAAAGCACCTCTCTTGCAAGCTTATCCCAGACATTAAGGGTTAACGGTAAACACACACACACACACACAAACACACACACACACACACACACACACGCACACACACACAGAGAACTGTTTTCCCTTGCAAGATTAGTGCTGCTTTCCAATGCCTGATTTCCCCCAACCATGTTCCTATGTGATGATCCTTTGCCACACACAAGACTGTCATTGTATATTCATTCATTAGAGATAATGATTTTGAGTTTCTGTCCCCACTGACCTGTGGACAGATGGCTAGCATGAATGCCACGTTTATCTGGACACCAGATCAGCTTCAGCAGCCCTCTGATGGGCCTGATCGCCGTGTGGCAGCTGCATTACAGACCTCCTCTTTTCTCCTCAACTCCCGGGGGGCTACCGACTGGGTGTACTGAATGTGAACTTCTGCAGAAATGGGCCTTTTGGTCATGACCAGTTTTGCTTTCTTTTCATAACCATCTGATAAATGTCGGGACTGCTTTGAGTTAATCATCTCAGATTGGGGTAAAAACAATTTGAAGTTCTAGATTGTTAGAAGCATTATTCAATTCTGAATAACAATTGCTTTTCTCTACCCTCTCCCTGTCTCTGTCTGTCTTAATACATAAGGGTTCAAACAAAACCTAGAAGTAAATGGAAGGGTTGTATTTGTGGATGGTACCTGCTGAATTCTTGGCTGCATTTAAAGATCTGATGGCAGTGCCACAAAGGGGACCAATTCTTGGCTGGAATAACTTCTGGTGGACCCGCTTAGTGAAAAACAGGCCAATCACTAATTTGATCATTTTACACAGATAGTTTTCTGCAGTAATTATTTTCTTTTAGCAAAAATTATTTCTCTTAGCAAAAAGACTTTCAATAAGGCAGTTTTAATGAATTGTTTCCTCTACTGCTTTAAAAGAAGATATTTGGCTATGCTAAACTCACAGTAGCCTTTAGAATCAGACTTGTATGAATGAATAAAGTAGATCAATTTTGATTTAATCACAAACTGTGAAACCTTTATAAGAACAGTTACACTTAGGGCTGCTGACAATTGCTATTATTTCATTAATTCACTCAACAAACAATTTTTGTCTTGACCTCTATATGTCAAGACAGATCTTCCTCTTCCATGGAATACTGATGAGCTCTCAAACTTTACCTGGGAGGAAAGAAGGGTAATCAGAGTTTAGAAATCCCCATGAGAGATTTTAGAATTTATTCCCTCCCATTAACATGTTCCCATTAATTATCTCCTTTACAATATTCGTATTTTAAAACTAGGTCCTGAATGTGTTAGAAAAAAAAAAGTTTGCAGAATGGTATCTCTTCTTTTTACTCAACCTCTTCCTCCTTGTCATCACCCCTGTGATCCAAAGTGGTTTTCCCCAAGCTCGGTTCATCATATATATTTAAAAAAAGCCACTTAAAGCATAATGCAGCCATGGATTCTTCTAGTCAATGGCACATTCCTTTTGAGATCTTTCATCGTTCGCATTTTTCTAAGTTTTTAAGAGGACTACCTCCATTTCTACCTACCCGAATTCTTTCCATGCTTTAAGACTTAGCCTGAGGGCTACTTCCTCCATTTCATGCCTGCTTCAGTCTCCCCTTAGCCCCGGATTCTCTCCTTCTTCCTAGTCCTGCATATTTTTCTCTCCGATTCTCTCAAATGCTTTCCCTCCAGCAAGCAAACTCACTCTTGTCTCTACACTTACCGTATCTCGAGGCTCCTACCTGCAGGTCTTCCTGGGATTAAGTCCATGGATTGTCTTGCCTGGCTTCATTTAAAAAAGAAAAACATTTATCTTTTTAGAATAGTTTTAGTTTTACAGAAACATTGAGATGATAGTACAGCTAGGTCCCTCCTACCACACACACAGTTTCCCTTACAATTAACATCTTGCCTTAGGACAGTACCTTTGCTACAACTAATAAACCAATGTCGACATATGATTATTAGCTAAAGTCCATATTCTATTCAGGTTTTTTTTTTTTTTGAGACAGTGTCTTGCTCTGTGGCCCAGACTGGAATGCAGTGGCATGATCTCGGCTCACTACCACCTCCGCCTTCTGGGTTCAAGCGATTCTCCTGCCTCAGCCTCCTGAGTAGCTGGGATTACAGGCGCCCACCATTATGACTGACTAATTTTTGTATTTTTAGTAGAGACGGGGTTTCACCATGTTGGCCAGGCTGGTCTCGAACTCCTGACCTCGTGATCCGCCCGCCTCAGCCTCCCAAAGTGCTGGGATTACAGGCATGAGTCACCGCGACCGGCCTTCTTTGTTTTCACCTGTTGATTTTTTTCTGTCTCAGAATGCCATCCAAGATACCACGTTACATTTAGCCGTCATGTTTTCTTAGGCTCTTCTTGCTGTGACAGTTTCTAAGACTTTCCTTGTTTTTGAGGACCATGACAGTTTTGGGAACACTGGTCAAGTATTTTGAAGAATGTCCTTCTCCTAGGATTTGTCTGATGTTTTCTCTCATGATTAAATTGGGGTTGTGGGTTATCATGAGGGAGACCACAGAGATAAAGTGCCAATGTTATCATCTCATATCAAGGTTACCTACCATTGACACGATTTATGACTGTTGATGTTGACCTTGGCCCCCTGGCTGAAGTTGAGCTTGTCATGTTTCTTAATTGTGAAATTATTCTCTCTGACTTCTGCCCCCAATTCCACACTGCACCTTTGGAAAAAAGTCGCTAGAAGCAGCTGCCACCTAAGGAATAAGGAGTCATGCTCCAGCCCCTTGGTGGTAGGGTATCTGAATGGATGATTCGCGTCATGTAATTCTGCAAAGGAGTTTTATCTCTTCTCGGGCTTGGCATGTCCCAGGGTTATTCTCAGCATGACATTCCTCCCTGATCCTTTCAAGACGCTAGGTTCTCACACAAAGCAACGTGCCATCCTTGGGCACTTCTCCCCTCTTCATTCACTCAGTTGTCCAGCTCTACAAAATCATACTTTAGCATAGTTTAAAAAACAAACAAATGCCTCTGCATTGCAGACAAGGCCTTCTAGTATCTAGCATTTCCTACCTTCCCATTCTCATTTTCTGTCCCTTCCCTACCCATCCTCTAACTTTGCTCCAGAGCAAATGAATTGCCATTCCACTCAAAGATTCACATGATTTCAAGTCTCCCTGCCTTTCCACCTATACTTCTTTCTGCCTGGAGGGCACCTCCCCTCACTGACCGCCTTTTAAGTCCAACCTTCTGAAAAACAGACAGTCCAACCTTCTCATCCTTCAGGAAGTCTCCTTGAATAGTCAGAAGTCCCTTCTCATTTCACTACAAACCTTGACACATTCCTCTAGCACTACGCTTACAAAGTGGCATTTTAACTATTTGTTCATATTTCTGTTTTCTTACAAGATGAATACTTTAAGTGCAGGGATTCTGACTTATTCATCTCTTTGCTACCAACATCAAGCATGTTTAGTATCTGTGGAATGAATGACTGGTTCAATCGTTACGTGATTTTTCACATACGTACCTGTAACTCTTTCACTGGCAAGGTGCCTTCTAGGAGTGTGACTTTTCACACCTATGCCTGTGACTCTCCCACTAGCATGATGCCCTCCTAGGGGGCAGATACCCAACTCATTATTCTTCGTGTCCCTGCACAGTACCTGAAGGCTTATCTCACCTAGTAGACCCCTAAACCCTGTGATGCGTTAACAGGTTGGCTAACAGCCAGGGAGAGGTCCTGGAGTGGGCTCCTCCTCCAAGGAGGGGATGCTCCACATGCCCAAAGAGCTGCTGATTATAAACAAGCCATTGAAATAAGTGGCGGCTTCATCTGAAAGTCAGTTTTGGTTGCAGAAAAGTGCTGACCATCCTTTAATACTGAGACAGGAAGGAGGCACTGCAATCAAACATAATTGGAAGATTACAGGAGCTCAAAATTACCCTATAGCAGAAAATTATTTTTCATGCTAGGCAGAGAAACCCAGGCATTGATTCCCCCCGCCCCCCTTTTTATGTGAGGAAGCCTCTTGAAGATAATCAGATTTCACTGAGAAGATACAATGGTAGATTTTCCCGTTAAACTAATATCTCAATAGATGTTCAGAAAGATCCTCTGCAATGGTGTCAAGAATAACAGCGAAACCCCTCATTTGGGTAATTTAGATTTGTATAAATCTGAATTGGCAAGACTGTCATGCTGAACTCCATTTACTCTTTGAATTTTTTCCCTGCTGTTCAGGTACAAGGCCTCCAGGTGTGTAGTCATGACTGGGCCATAATATCCCATAATACGCCATTAGCCTTTCTAAAGG